>NC_000020.11:29447883-29452158 GCF_000001405.40 Homo sapiens
TCCCTTCCTCCCTCCCTCCTTCCCTCTCTTCCTCCCTCTATCCCTCCATCCCTTCCAAGGTCCCTCCGTCCATCCGTTCTTTCCTCCCTCCATCGCTCCCTCCCTCTCTGTCTCCGTTCCTCTCCCCATCTCTGCCTGAGTTCCCTCCCGCGTAGAAAGGGCAGCACCCCGGTTTGCGCGGGGTCTCGGGTCTGCATTTAGCTGTCAGGCGCTCCACGGTGATAGCGAGGAAGCTGGCGGGGCACGGGTAGGCGAGTGACGGTGGCGGGGGGAGGCAGAGGTAGCCAGACGAGGAAAGAAGAGCAGGCCTGGTGGCTGCCCGGGCCAGTGTTTCCCGGGATGGAGGTCTCCGCCCACTCTACTGAAGAACGCGAGTGGGTGGGGGGGAAAGGGATGAGAGCTCCGCCTGCAAACCCGCGCATGAGCAGTAGACGGTTCACCTCCCGGTACCTGGACGGGCTCTGGGATCCCCGGGATGCTCAGGAAAGAATGACAGCCCTCCACTGTGTGGGGTCTCTCACGGGACCTGGAACTCAGGGATCCTAGGCAGGTCAGCTGGAAGGGAAGACACGCCTCTCCATACCGAGTCAGAAGTTCACCGCGAAAGAGAGGCCGCCGCCCCAACCCCGCGTCCTAAAGCTCCTCCAGCAGAGCCCGGTGTTCTTCCTGGCTGAAGAGTGGTTCCAGCAGAGTGGGCTCTTCCACGTCCTTCAGCTCCCCCAGTGGCGCCGGATCTAGGAAAGGTTGTGCCTTTTGCTGAAACTCTAGGGTCGACAGGAGCTCATCTAATAGGCTGGGGGTGAGTGCAGAGGAGCGCCTTGCCTCCTGGAGCGGTTGGGAGGCTCCTGAATGGCTTCCATCTGTGCTTGACACGGAGGCCTCCGGGGTCACGAGCTTCGGAGTTGGAGGTGCCCAGTCTTTGGTTTCCCATGCAGCCCTGGCGACCTGGGGCTCTAGTCCCACCGCAGACTCCGGTGGGACGTGGGTGGCGCAAGCACACCTTGGCCCTGTGACTCAGCTTGAGGGGGCCCAAGCTGTCCCACTGAGCACGCGCCCAGCAGGCCGTCGTGCTGTGGGTCCTGGTCCTCCTGGCATTTGTTGGGGTGCAGAGGCCACCGAGGAGTCTGAGTGTGGGACAACCCCACTTCTGGAGGAGCCAGGGCAGCGAACACAAAATCCTCGCATGCCGGGGCAGGTTGGGAGATTCCTTCTGCCTGTGCAGCCTGGCTGGGCTGGCACGGCCTGGCTGGGGCAGGGCCTGGCTCGGCCAGGGCCAGGCTGGGCCAGGCCTTGCTGCCTGGCTCACGAAAGCCCCCTGTGGGAGAGCCCCAGGCACACAGAGTGTGTGGGGTGCAGGAAGCCCCGTTCCCCATGCCCCGGTGTGGGTGAACTCGATTGAGGGAGGAGGTTGACACCCGCCAGGGGTGTTAATTAGTAACCACAGTGGCCTCAAAGAGCTCAAATGAAAGGAAGAACTGCACGTCTCTTAGTTTAAGTCAAGAGCTAGAAAGGATTAAGCTTAGTGAAGATGTAAAATTTTCATCACTAGAGAGACGTCAACGCTTGGCTTCAAAACTTCAAAGGATGGGCTGACTCTCTTTGAGGACCACTGCAATTGGTGACTTTAAGTTACAGCCAATGCTCATTTGACCACTCTGAAAATCTCAGGGCCCTTAAGAATTATGCAAGTCTATTCTTTCTGTTCCCTAGAAATGGAACATCACAGTCTGAGTGACAACACATCTGTTAACAGCATGGTTTACTGAATATTTTAATCCCACTATTGAGACCTACTGCTCAGAAGAAAAAAAAAAAAAAACGATTCCTTTAAAGAGATTGCTGCTTGGCCAGGTGCAGTGGCTCACACCTGTAATCCCTGCACTTTGGGAGGCCGAGGTGGGTGGATCACGAGGCCAGGAATTTGAGATCAGCCTGGCCAATATGGTGAAACCCCGTCTCTACTAAAAATACAAAAAAATTAGCCTGGCATGGTGGTCGTACCTGTAATTTCAGCTACTTGGGAGGCTGAGGCAGAAGAATGGCTTGAACCCTGGAGGCAGAGGTTGCAGTGAGCTGAGACCATGCCACTACCCTCCAGCCTGGGCAACAAGAGTGAAACTACATAAAGGAAAAAAAAAAAAAAAGGAAAGAAAAGAAAAAAGGAAAAAAGATTATTGCTTATTGACAATTCACCTAGCTACCCAGAAGCTTAGATGGAGATGTACTTGGAAATTAATGTTATTTTCATGGCTGCTAATACAATATCTGTCCTTCAGCCTGTGGATCAAGGAGTGGTTTTGGCTTTCAAGTGTTTTTATTAATTAATAAATGCATTTTGTAAAGGTATAGCTATCATAGATAGTGATGTCTTTGATGAATCTGGATAAACTGAATTGAAAACCTTTTGGAAAGGATTCACCATTAATCCTTTCATGATATTTGAACCTCCTCCCGTGAATCACAAATGTCCTTAATAGCAATCCTTAAATTACATTAAGGACATTTGTGATTGATGGGAGGAGGTTGAAATATCAACATTAACAGGAGTTTGGAAGAAGTTGATTCCAGGCCTCATGGATGACTTTGAGGGCTTGGGATGTCAGTGGAGGAAGTCCCTACAGATGTGGTAGAAATCGCAATGCAACCAGAATTAGAATTAGGGCCTTAAGATGAGATTAAATTGCTCTGAATTCATGATGAAACTTGAACAAATGGGGAGTTGCTTCTTATGGACGAGCAAAGAAAATATTTTCTTGAGGTGGAATCTACTCCAGGTGGAGACGCTATGAACATTGTTGAAATAACAACAAAGGATTTAGAATATTCCACAAACCTAGTTGATAAAGCAGCAGCAGGGTTTGAGAGGGTTTACTCTAATTTTGAAGGAAGTTCTATTGTGGATAAAATGCTATCAAACAGCATCACATGCTACAGGGAAATCTTTTGTGAAAGGAACAAACTTCGTTGTTTTAAGAAATTGATACAGGCATCCAACCTTCAGCAGCCCCCATGCTGATCAGTCAGCAGCCATCAATATAGAGGCAAGACCCTCACCAGCAAAAACATTATGACTTGGTAAGGCTCAGATATCCATTAGTATCTTTCAGCAATGAGGAATTTTAAGTTAAAGTATGTACATAGCTTTTTAGAAGTAATGCGGTTACAAATTAATTAATTAATTAATAATTAATTATTAAATACTCATTAGACTACAACATAGTTTAAGCATAACTTTTATAAGCACTGGGAAACAAAATGTTTATGTGACTAACTTGATTGTAACATTTGCCTTATTGCGGTTGTCTGGAACCAAACCCACACTATCTCTGAGTATGCTTGTAGGTTTTTGTTTGTTCCTTGTTTTGAGATGGGGTTTCGCTCTGTCGCCCAGGACAGAGTGCAGTGGCATGATCATAGCTCACTGCAGCCTCTAACTGCTGGGTCAAGTGATTTTTCTACCACAGCCTCCTGAGTAGCTGGGACAACAGGCATGCAACACTATGCCTGGCTATTTTTTTTTTTTTTTTTTTTTTTTTTGAGATGGAGTCTCGCTCTTTCCCCCAGGCTGGAGTGCAGTGGCGCGATCTCCGCTCACTGCAAGCCCCGCCTCCCGGGTTCACGCCATTCTCCTGCCTCAGCCTCCCAAGCAGCTGGGACTACAGGCACCCGCCACCACACCGTATAATTTTTTGTATTTTTAGTGGAAACGGGGTTTCACTGTGTTAGCCAGGATGGTCTCGATCTCCTGACCTCGTGATCCGCCCACCTCGGCCTCCCAAAGTGCTGGGATTACAGGCGTGAGCCACCGCGCCCGGCCTCTGCCATTATCTTCTATTAACTTTGTAGTTTGACCTTTTGCTTTTAGGTCTTAAAGCCATTTGGTGTTAAGCACCATTGTTATACGTACTTGAGTAATGGGAAAACTGAGGCACACAGAAGGTGAGTAATTTGAAGACTATACAGTTCAACAAGTGACAGAGCTAGTATTCAAACCGAGGCAGCCTGGCCCCTGAAACTGTGTTCCGTAGCTACTGTGTCATGCTGCTTCTCCATTGACCAGGATCGGTGATTCAGAAGTTGCTGTGTGCAGAGCCTTTAAATGCCAATCTTTCACTCTGTCCTCCCAACAGCCCTGAGCAGTAAGGCCTGTTATTACCAGATTAAAGAAACTGAGGTTCCCAAAAGATAAGTGGCAAAACCAGATCTTTCAGACTCCACCCTTTGTGTTTTTGGACACTAAACTATAGTCTCCCCTGAAATAACCAGGAATCACGC
>NC_000020.11:29452178-29538733 GCF_000001405.40 Homo sapiens
ACACTACACACACTGCACACACAGCACCATACACACACAAAACGCACACATCACATACACCACACACACTGCACACACACATATCACAAGCACACCATACCACACATAGTACCCGTACACGCCACACACATACACCACAAACACAACACATACACACACCATACACCACCCACAGTATTCACACGACACCCACAGTACACACCACACACACATATACGTACCCCATGCACTTACTACACACACAGACCACACACACACACCATACATATACATCACACACATACGTCTTCGCACACCTCACAGAGTACATACAATACTCACTTTTAGAACTTAATTCAGGTTTTAAGGAGCCTGGATAATAAACTATTTTATTGGCGTTTGAATGAGCTAAGAAAATGCATATAAATACACATGCTTAACTATAATTGCACAAGAAGCACTTTCGAAATCACAACATTAGATTAAACCATCTAAGTTTTTTATTGTTATTGAAAAATCAAGTCTTCATCATTTTACTAGGAACTATTTACAGAATAAACTAATGAGATTCTTCCTGAGGTAAAAAGACTTTTTGGAAAAACTTCTCCTTGATGAAATTTCACTTAAAACATCACTTCCATCGTGAAGTATTTCTTTAAGATATTCTTGGTCCCTTCCTTTTATGTGGAATCGTCAATTCAAATTTTAAAGGAGACTTTGAGATGTTTTTCATCTATTATTTTAAAAATGTTGAAGGGGTTTTTAATTCTGCCTTCAACAGAGATGGACACACCTCTGATTATGATGTAAAACTGAATACGTTACTCTGGCAGGCTTTCTCCTCTGCAGCTTAGCTGCCATCATTATTAATAAGGATTGTATGCTTTTACTCCATGCACAATCTGTATTCCCTGCTTTATAAAGAATAGAAATCTAATTCTCACTATGAAGGCAGATAAAAGTAATCACTTCAACCTACAGATGACTGAATCATTTACCAAAGCACTCAGACTTGAAATAGCATTTATCCAATGTGTCTATATTTCTACACAGATTCATATGAAGAACATGTAGTTTAAATCATTGCACAATTTATGCTTTTAATGAGTTGTGATGGTCATTAATATTTTTATCACATTTCCCCAAAGGTGGGCTACTTACTGTTATTCTTTTCAGTTAGAAATATAGATGTATTTTCTATTTTTGATGACTTTGAAACATAATCCTTGGAGTATAATATCTATGTGTAATATCTGTGGAAAGCATGAAAATAATATTCAAATAGTATGCATTTTTCCAGAATGAAAATTTCCTCTACAATAATATTCATCTTTTTTTTCCTGATGGGCACATAAAAGTCAACATTTGTAACATTGCTGGACATTATTTACATTAAACATGCATCAGCTTCAGGTGTTGCAGAAACTGGGCAAGAGGCCACAAGGTACACAATACACACACATGCACACACACATACACACACACAAAACTTGTATTATTATACTTACCTAAGTGTCTAAAGAGGTGGATAAATATATTAGATTACTCTAGAGCAATGATTTTTGTGGGGTCTATTGGAAAATATAACTGTAGTTTGAGTGAGATTCCTCTAAGAGATTCAACTTGGCCACTATTTATTGAGTATTCAATTTTAAAAATACTAACAGAAGGCTTATGGGATGAAAATTTCCATCTAAATCTATGGGAAATGTGCTACTAGATGCTGTAGTAAAAAGACTGATGTGGTAATTGTAAAATATATCTAATATCTAAACCTTTGTTTGTTTTTTACCTGAAATCCTTATGGGGGTGATTGTGTATATCAATTTGAATCTTCCCATCAACAAGATGCATAAATAAATAGCCAGCCTACCTCTATAAATTAATAATTTAGTTCACCTGCTCTATATTTTGAGGGCAGTGCTTCTCTTCCTTTGACATGCACAAAATTCACCCGGGGATCTTATTAAAATGCAAACTCATAGACCACGCTTTGACTAGCTAAGATAAGGGATCAGAGCATCGAAATAAGTGTGTAGGTGACTGTGCTAAGATTCTACTGCTCATTTGGGCACTGGCTCACCATATTAACAAAGCTTAGGACCTCTAGTCCTTGCTGGAAAAGAAATACACATACATAGGATGTGACTGTGCATATGGAATATCTGTTGTGTTCTGGACATTGTGCTAGACAACAGAGATAAGAAGTCAAATAATCTCTTGTCTCTATCTGAAAGGAGCTTCATACACAGTGGCTTCTGGATGTCTCTGAAACTGGGTTCACTTTCAGATTTGATTATTATATTTATGATTTGACACTGGCATTGAACCCCATGATGTGATAAATTTTTCCAGAACCTGCCAGAACAACTGGCTTTGCTCTCAACATCAGGAAGCCACTGGGGCACATAAATAATTCATTTATGTTTGTATTTCACCAGACAGGAACAACTTGAGCTAATTTTCTAGCCACATTTGTTTAGAGCTGTTTTTGTTTGTTTTTGTTTGTTTGTTTGTTTTTGAGACAGGGTCTCACTCTGTCACCTAGGCTGGAATGCAGTGGTGTGATCAGAGCTCATTGCAGCCTCTACCTTCTGGGCTCAAGCAATCCTCTCACCTCAGCCTCCTGAGAAGCTGGAACCACAGGCTTATACCACCATACCCAGCTAATTAAAAAAAATTTTTTTGTAGAGACAGGGTTTTTCCATGTTTCCTAGACTTGTCTCCCACTCCTGAGCTCGAGCAATCTGCTTGCCTCAACCTCCTAAAGCGTAGAGCTGTGTTTTTAGTCTTTTTTGAACTGTTTTACAATCCAGTGTTGAATTGATAAGTTTGGATTCACTCTGATATTTGCAGATTTAACATCCTACTTCACAAGATGCTCATAGCCTTGATCCATTACAGCCGCTGCCTCATCCATCTCTGCTCATATCCTTGATCCAATACAGCAGCCACCCCGTCCATCTCTGCTCATAACCTAAACTAATAGAAGCCAGAGGGAAGAAATGGAAGCCAACGTGAGTCCAGAACACACATTTTATAAGAGCATAAGAAATTTAAAAATAGCAAAGTATATAATGAAGTTTGTAATAGATATTCATGGCTAAAATTTATTCTTATATTAATCAATATATTCTATAAATTGGGAGAAAATATTAAACACATGAAAAGTAAGGAACTTTCATCATTAATATATAATTAATATGACAAGAATGTGGTTTATGTTTTTATCTTTACAAGATTTAGGAACATTTGGTGCAAGGAGGAAGAATGTATAATCATGGGGAGCATGTATGATACTGGAGGGAGCCTTTTGACAAGGGGGAAATGGCATCACGAGATATGCTATGATCATAGCTATGTAGGAACACAGCTACCTATGGTCTCCCCGTCAAATCCACTGGGCAGTGTTCAGTTACCAACATTGAGGTAGAGCTCACTCTCCCAGATCAGAAGAGAAAATATACACTGCAGTCAGAAGCCACTGAGTAGGAAGCTCCTTTCAGATAGAGGCAAGGGATATTTGACTTTTTATCTCTAGTGTCTAGTACAATGTCCAGAACACAACAGATATTCCATATGCACAGTCACATCCTATGTGTCTGTATTTCTTTTCCAGCAGGGACTGGAAGTCCTATGTTTTGTTAATATGGTGAGCCAGTGCCCACATGAACAGTAGCATCTTAGCACTGTCACCAGGGCATCCATTTAAATGCTCTTATCTTAGCTAGTCAAAGTGTGGTCTATGAGTTTGCATTTTAATAAGATCCCCGGGTGAATCTTGTGCATGTTACAGAGGAAGCACTGTCCTACATCCCATGTGACAGGCTCTCATAGTCACCATCATCACGGGAATCTTGCCCATGTTACAGGGAAGTGCTGTCCTACATCATATGTGACAGGCTCTCATAGTCACCATCATCAAGGGAATCTTGCACACGTTACAGGGAAGCACTGTCCTACATCGTATGTGACAGGCTCTCATAGAAACCACCACCCTGGGAATCTGCATTTAGAGCATTTAACTATATGGGCTCTGAAATCAGGTGACTTAGGTTTAGACTTCCTTCTACTTTTTACTAAGCAGAGAACTCTGGGGTGAAAACTTTACGATGCCATTTTATCACATCCAAATTGGAGGCACGGGGAGATTATAACATTTTCCATGGAATATTGTTTTACATATAAAATGAAATAGTACATAGGAAGCTTCTGCCATGCACTAACTGCACAATAAATATTAGTTAATAGTAACTCATTTAGTCCTAAGGTCTATAAATTTGTACACTATAATTTTTTGTGACTACCCAAATTTTTATAATTAATGTAGATTTAAAATCAAGGAATGTTTTTATGTGTAGTTGGTAATCAATATGACACGCCAAAATTATATGTAAGTAGTTTATTTTTGGTGGGGATATAAGAAATTTGCCATCAAAAGAGGGAAAATAATCTATGTTTTCAGACTCCAGAAAGCTGTGACTCACCTAAGAGTTTGCAATTTCTGTCTGGGGGAAAAGAAGAGAAAGTTGACTGTGAAAATAAGCATTACCATAGAGCCTTCTCTATGGCAACATCAAAAATGAAAGCTGATTCTCATCTTCCTAACAATCTGCAAAGACAAGTGAAACACAACCTACTGAGCATCAAGTTAAAGAAGGAGTGAATTTGAGTAGCACGGGAGGAAACCATGTCTTCGCCACTAGGGAAATAAATATGACCACTGTTCCTCTGCCCTCCTCCGAGGCTAAAGATGGGTTAAATATGAGTGCCTGACCTCAGATAATGGAATGAGCAAAAAAGCTATAAAATGCATGCATTACATAATTAAGAGGGTGGGAAGGGATTTTTTTTAAAAAGGCAATTCCTAGTTGGGTTCCTTCCTGTTCACGCCATTGATGAAGAAATTAGTCTTGCCCTAGAATTCTGGGGATGGCTGCAGACACAACAAACACTGAGCAGATGAAATTCACGGTAATTTATTCATCGCGCATACTCAGCCCAACAGGGGATGACACTGCATCTATGCAGGTCTACCCGGGGGTTCACTCTGGAGCACAGGGTGCGGGAGGCAGGCTTGGTAGAAATCAGAGGGTGGGGTAACCCTTGGTCCCTTGAGGGATGTGCTTGACTAATTCAAAGAGTTTAGCAGTCTGTTGGGGGCATGAAAGCCATTAGGCTGAGGACCTGGTGGGATGCAGCATGAAATTTTAGGTGTCACAGTAAAATTGACCCTGATGCTTTAAAATCAGACATTTATTTTAATGATGACTAATATTTTGAGAGGCTGAGAGAAGGCTGTTGAGACATTGTAATAAGTGCTTAGGGGCATGAGACATTAGGAAGGCCACAATTATGAGTAATGAAATGTGGAAGCTGATGAGAAGCTACTGCTCCCATTTGCTTAGCAGGAAGCAGGAAAAGTGATCTGGGATCTCTGGCAGCACAAGCGTGTTGGTAAATATTTGGGTGATGTCATGCATCCCCCATGCATTGGTTTTCATGTCTCCAGTGAGTTGTTGGGCAAGTCTGATATTACTGATCCACACGCAGCAGGCAGCTTCCTGTATGGAGCTACCTCCACCCCTTGGACAGTTCAGGACTGAAAGGTTGTCAAAAATGTGAACTCCTTGATGTCCAGTAAAGGCAACTGAGGGGACTGTCTAGCATTGGTGTAAAAAGTGCACTTTCCTAAGGAGCATGAACTTAGAGTAATCAAATCCTGTGGCAACAGTGGTATCCAGCAGGGCATCCACTCGATTCTTTGTACCTTAAATAGGAATTCTTTGAGGAGCTCAGTGTATCTCTCAACTGAAGCAGCTGCCTGCATCCTACAGGGGCAGTGGAAGCTCTGCTGGACACCTTCTTCACAAGCCCAGCACTGTGTTTTCTGATGAAATGTTGCTTTGGTGATCATCAGTAGTGTCTGGAACTCTGCAAGGGATAAGGAGTGTCCCTGTGAGAGCTGTACTGTGTCCTGAGTTAAAATAAAGGCATCTGTTACCTTGTTTGGTATTCTGAGTATCCATGAGACAAGAAGTTTATTTAATTCAATGGGGAGGGAAGGTGGACAATTCTTGGCAATTGTCAAAAAGTTTGTAAAAAGGTACAAGTGGGGCTAATTGTTGGCCCAGCATCAGTGCTATGATGACCACCTCAAGTTTGGCCAGTTGTGCTGAGGCTTGGGTGTCATCCTTTATCAGGGACATCCTAGCTAAGGGAGGGAAAGCAGCAGCATCCCACTGAGCTCCATCACGTCCGATCATGGCATCCATTCAGAAGGTGGACGAACTTCACTGCTGGTCTCTCAGTCGATCCCAAGGGCCTCGCAGAGGGGTGACATCCAGCACCACAGTCTGAGGATGAAGGAGGCCAGTGTCAGCATTATAGCCTAAGGATGAAGGAGGCCAGTGCTTCCTGCAGATGAGAATTGCAGGGGGTACAGATTTGACTCCATTCGGAGGCAAGGAGGTCTCTGCAGCTGTGCCAAAGCTGTGGGGTGCTGCTTCCCAAGGCCTGATGGCCAGATGGGCATGAAGGCTCATGGACATGGATGCAGAGCCCTCTCTTTCAAGGGTCCAGTATGTGGCCAGCAATCACTGCCCTGATGCTGTACAGCACAGGGTCAAAAGAGGCAGGTTTGTTTTTTACATCAGAAGCCCATGGACTACTTATGGCCACCACATGCAAACCAGATACTTCAGGAGGCATGGGAAGAGGCTGCTAAAGCATCTACAGTGTGTTCTCTGATGAAATTCATAGGAGCGCCTGTTAATTTAAATTCGGATGGATTCCAGACTTGTTGGAGGAGGCTTCATTCAAGGTGGGTCAGCTTTCAAGTGACAGCATCAGCGAGATTAAGTAAAATTTGTAATTAAGAAATATGTAGTCACCTGAACCCCAAGTAAAGAATTAAAGGGCTGGGCACAGGGACTCACACCTGTAATCCCAGAACTTTGGGAGGCCGAGGCCAGAGGATCGCTTGAGCCCAGGAGTTCGAGACCAGCCTGGGTAACATAGCGAGAGCTTTTCTCTACAAAAAAATAAACAAAATTAGCTGAGTGTCATGGCACACACCTGTAGTCCTAGCTACTTGGAAAGCTGAAATGGGAGAATTGCTTGAGGTCAGGAGGTCGAGGCTGCAGTGAGCTCAGATCATGCCACTTCATACCAGCCTGGGTGACAGAGCAAGACTGTGTCTCCAAAAAACAAAACACAAATTAAAGAATGTTGGGCTTGTATTAACATTGTGGATGCTGAGAGGATGAATAACTATTTCTTGAAAGTGTCAGGAATAGAGCAGCCCCAAGTTTACCAAGGAATTTTCAGGAATTGAAGCAAAGTGGCAGGGCCTTGCACTGCTGTGTTGGGGAAAGGTCCATTCCCTTTGTATAAGGCTCTTTGTGTCTGTGTGTCCTTAGTGTATAAAATGAATTTTCTCTGAGAATGATGTCATCAGTATAATGTCACACCTGTACTCCTGTAGAAAGGTGGCTGCAGTGAGATATTGTCTGTGAAGATTGCATGCAATGATGAGGCTGCCAAGGCACTCCGTGTGTTACCTGGTCCCTTCAGAGAGGAAGGAATGCTATGATTGAGACTCTGTTAAAATAGGCACAAAAAGAACATGTTAGCCAAATCTATAACAACAAAATATTTACCAGTTGCATGAATATATATAGGTTTATTATAAGGAATTGGCTCATGTGGTTATGGAAGCTAACAAGTCCCAGGGACTGCAGTCAGCAAGCTGGAGACCCAGGACTGCCAATGGTGGAGTTCCAGTCCAAGCCTAAATTCCTGAGAACCAGGAAAGCTGATGGCATAAGTTACAGTCCACGTCTGACTTCAAAGGCAAGAGAAGATCTACGTCTCAGCTCTGAAAGCATCAAAGAGAGTGAATTATCTCTTCCTCTACCCTTGTGTTTTATTTGGGCTTTAATGGATTGGATGAGGCCCACTCACACTGGGGACGGCAACTACTTTACTAAGTCTACATATTCAAATGTTCATCTCATCAAGGAACACCCTCACAGACACATCCAGGGTGTTTAACCAAATATCTAGGCAACCCAACTTGGCAAATAAAATTAACCATCATAAGGTGAAAGATGTATACGATCTGAAGAGAAACGAGGGATGCAGGACGGTTAAACATCTGCAAGTCAATAAATGTGATGTGCCATATAAACAGAATTAAAAACAAAAATAACAAGATCATCTCAATACATGCAGAAAAAGGATTTGACAAAATCCAGCATCCCTTTATGCCTAAAACCCTCAGCAAAATCGACATAGAAAAAGCATTTGACAAAATCCAGAATCCCTTTATGATTAAAACCCTCAGCAAAATCAACATAGAAGGGACATACCTTAAGGTAATAAAAGCTATATATGACAAACACACAGCCAACATTACACTGAATGGGGAAAAGTTGAAAGCATTCCCCCTGAGAATTGGAACAAGACAATGATGCCCACTTTCACCACTTCTATTCAACACAGTACTAGAAGTCCTTGCCAGAGCAATCAGATAAGAGAAATAAAGGGCATCCAAATCAGTAAAGAGGAAGCCGAACTGTCACTCTTTGCTGATGACATGATCGTATACCTAGAAAGCCCTAAAGACTCATCCCAAAAGCTACTAGAACTGGTAAATGAATTTAGCAAAGTTTCAGGATACAAAATTAATGTACCCAAGTCAGTGGCTCTGCTATACTGTAACAGTGAACAAGCTGGGAATCAAATCAAAAACTCACCACCTTTTACAATAGCTGCAATAAAAACCTGAGGAATATTATGATTATATATATATGATTATAATTATAATATAATTATAATAGTATATTCCTATAGTTGTCAATTGCATGCAATCTTTGCATACAAAATCTTAATAATATCCGGAATACTTAACCAAAGAGACAAAGACCTCTACAAGGAAAACTACAAAACACTGCTGATAGAAATCATAGATACAAACAAATGGAAACATATCTCATGCTCACGGATGGGTAAAATCAATATTGTGAAAATACCATACTGCCAAAAGCTATCTACAAACTCAATGCAATCCCCATTAAAGTACCAACATCAGTCTTCACAGAACTACAAAAATTCACATGGAACTAAAAAAGACATAGAAGGAACATACCTTAAGGTAATAAAAGCCTAGAACCAAAAAAGAATCTGTATAGCCAAAACAAGACTAAGCAAAAAGAACAAATCTAGAAGCCGACTTCAAACTATACTAGAAGGCCATAGTCACCAAAACAGCATGGTACTGGTATAAAAATAGACATATAGATCAATGGAACATAATAGAGAACCCAGAAATAAAGCCAAATACTTACAGTCATCTAATCTTCAACAAAGCAAACAAAAACATAAAGCAGAGAAAGAATACCCTATTCAACAAATGGTGCTGGGATAAATGGCAAGCCACACATAGAATAATGAAAGTGGATGCTCATTTCTCACCTTTTTCAAAAATCAACTCAAGATGGATCAGGGACTTAAATCTAATATCTAAAACTATAAAAATTCTAGAAGACGACATTGGAAAAACCCTTCTAGACATTGGCTTAGGCAAAGACTTCATGACCAATAACCCAAAAAGCAAATGCAACTAAAACAAAGATAAATAGATGAGACTTAATTAAACTAAAAGGTTTCTGCACAGCAAAAGAAATAATCAGCAGAGTAAACAGATAACCTAAAGAGTGGGAGAAAATCTTTGCAATCTGTACTTCTGATTAAAGGACTAATGGCCAGAATCTGCAAGGAACTCAAACAAACCAGCAAGAAAAAAAAATCCCATCAAAAAGTGGGCTAAGGACATGAACAGACAATTCTCAAAAGAAGATACACAACTGGCCAACAAACACATGAAAAAAATGCTCAACATAACTAATTATCAAGGAAATGCAAATCAAAACCACAGCACAATATGATAACCCCTTCACTCCTGCAAGAATGGACATAATCAAAAAATCAAAAACTAATAGATGTTGGCATGGATGTGTTAAAAAGGGAACACTTTTACACTTTTTGGAGGGAATGCCAGCTAGTACAACAGCTATGGAAAACAGTGAGCAGATTTCCAAAGAACTAAAAGCAGATCTATCATTTGATCCAGTAATTCCACTCCTGGGTATCTACTCAGAGGAAAATAAGTCATTATATGAAAAAGATACTTGCACACGCATGTTTATAGCAGCACAATATGCAATTGCAAGAATTTGAAACCAGCCTAAATGCCCATCAATCAGTAAGTGGATAAAGAAAATGTGATATAAATATTTACCATGGAATACTACTCAGCCATAAGATGGAATGAAGTAATGCATTCACAGCAACGTGGATGAAACTGGACACCATTATTCTAAGTGAAGTAACTTTGGAATGGAAAACCAAACATTGTATGTTCTCATTCAGACATGGGAGCTAAGCTATGAGGATGCAAAGGCATAAGAATGATACAATGGTCTTCGGGGACTCAGGGAAAGGCTGGCAGTGGTGAGGTGGGTGCGGTGAGGGATAAAACACTACACATTGTGTATAGTGTACTCTGCTTGGGAGATGGGTGCACCACAAATCTCAGAAATCGCCACTAAAGAACTTATTCATGTAACCAAACACCACCTGTTCCCCAAAAACCTATTGAAATAAAAAAAACCCATCATATTCCCCAAAAACCTATTGAAATAAAAAAAAAATTAACCACAATAATATTTAGCATTGGGTACGAGGGCCTTAATGGATGGGAACGCTGCAGTCACATTACAGCAATCCACTGTGAAACACCATTTATTCTTTGCAGGTTTAAGAACAGGCCAAATTCTACTGCTAAATGTTGAAGCAATGAGGATAATCACCCCTTCACTAATTAATTAGGTCTTATATAATAAGTTTTATTTATTTGAAGTCATGTTGTAATTTCTATTGGACCATATTTGCTAATTTATCAAGATGGGGAGGCTAGGCACCATGGCTCACACCTGTAATCCCAGCACTTTGGGAGGCCAAGACAGGAGGATTGCTTGAGGCCAGAATTTAGAGACCAGCCTAGGCAACGTAGCAAGACTGCACTTCTATAAATTTTTTTTAATTGGCTGTGTTGGTGCATGCCTGTAATCCCAGCTACTTGGAAGGCTAAAATGGGAGGATTGCTTAAGTCCAGGAGTTCGAGGCTGCAGTGAGCTATGATTGTGCCACCACACTTCGTTCAGCCTGGGTAATGGAGCAAGACCCCATCTCTAAAAAAATGAAAAATTAAAAATAAATCAAATTTAAAAAAAAACAGGAGAGGGAGTTCTGTAAGGTTACATTTGTGAAGTCAATGTGTAAGTGCAAATGGTTTAATTTCAATTTGTTACTCATTAGGTCAGAGCATCCATGTCCCCTATGGACAAAGTCTTCTATGACTACAGGAAATTTAGTCAAGGTAAAAAATATGAGGCATAACTATGTGTCCTCTATTCTATATGCAGTTACTCTGCTAGGATTAGGGGGTGCAAAGTTTAAATTTAGTGAAATCTCAGGTATAACAAAGTTTGAGCTCCAGTATTGATTACGTTTGTGAAGGTATACCAATTGGTAGATTTCAGCAGATGTTAAATTGATTCAGAATATATGCTGGAGAGTTACAAATACCAGTCAGCACCCTTTTATCTTTGGACTATATAAATTGTTTTAGAAGATAGTACATTTCCAGTTAGGTCAGATGATAGACTTCCGTTTTAATTTAAATTTTGTTTTTGTGCATATCCAAGTTCCTTCCCTTCCTTTCTTCCTTCCTTCTTTCCTTCCCTCCTTCCTTCCCTCCTCTTTCCTTCCTTCCTTCCTTCTTTCCTTCCTTCCCTCTCTCCTTCCTTCCCTCTCTCCTTCCTTCCTTCCCTCCCTCCCTCCTTCCCTCTCTCCTTACTTCCTCCTTTCCTTCATTCCTTCCTGCCCTCCTTCCCTCTCTCCTTCCTTCATTCCTCCCTTCCTTCTCTCCTTCCTTCCTTCCATCCCTACCTCCCTCCCTACTTCCTTCCTTCCTTCCCTCTCTCCTTCCTTCCCTCCTTCCTTCCTTCCTTCCCTCTCCCTCATTTTTTTGTCACTGGATATGGGGAAGGTTGTTCTCTTTCCCACTCATATTTATAATTTTTTTATTTGAAACAGCCCCAAATCAGTATCTTCAGAGTTAAGGTCCTGCTTGTGAGCAGATTGTGTGGTTTAAGAACCCTAGACTTAGGTTTGGATTTCTCCCTTCTCTGCCTCAGGGGTACCGCAGGTGTCTTTTCCTATAACCCTGGGAATTAGATCTTTGTTGCGGCAGAACCATCAGTGCGATGCAGCACAACCAGCCCACAATTCAGGGGTCAGTGGATTGAAATCATCTTCTGCTACGGCTCCATCTGGTTCTTCTAGGACTTCCCTCCATCTTTTTTATTGCTTTTAGGGTGTTGAAACTTTAGTGGCATATACATTGCCTCATAATCAGTCAAAACTCCACTTATCCCACGTCATGGATTAAAGAGAACATTGCCAGGAGCCCTTCACTCTTCTAGAAGGACTTTATTTGATAGGTCCTTTTTCCATGGTTTAGAATAAAAGAGGTAATAACTAGAAATGTCTCCCTCATAATAGGCTCTACAGCAAATTCTATTTTAAAGGCTGTTGTTCGTGTCTTCAACTATGGCTGTCTTTAATGTTTTTGTCATCCACAGACAGTTGTTGTCTCATTTTGGTCCTCTTTAAATAATGGTTTTATAATCAGCTATAAAATCTAACAGATGACCTTAAATGCAGGATTCTGCTTAATAACGCTGGAGATTGTGACATTAGAATAGAAGGAAAACTTTCAAATAGAAGAGTGAATGGTGTTTGGTCTACTTTGGACCGTATTTTTATAAATATGTTATTAGTATGTATTCCAAAATTATTGGAAACTTATATAGAAATGTAATCCCCAGTGTTGGAAATGGGGCCTGCTGGGAGGTGGCTGGTCCATGGGAGCAGCTTCCAGTGGTTCCCACTGTAGGAGATGGGGCCTGCTGGGAGGTGGCTGGTCCATGGGAGCAGTTTCTAATGGTTAAGCATCATCCCCCTAGCGCTGTTCTTGTGATAGAGTTCTCATGAGATCTTGTTGCTAAAGTGTGTAGGACCTTCCCCCTCTCTCTCTTCCTCCTGATCTTGCTTTCCCTTCCACCATGATTGTTAAGTTTCCTGAGGCCTCCCCAGAAGCTGAGCAGATGTCAGCATCATGCTTGCTGTACAGGCTGTGGAAGTGTGAGCCAATTTTCAGTGCTCTTCTGTTTTCTTTTTATTTTATTTTTTTAAATTTTATTTTAAGTTCCAGGATACATGTGCAGGACATGCAGGTTTGTTACATGGGTAAACGTGCACTATGATGATTTGCTGTACTTATCAACCCACCGCCTAGGTATTAAGCCCCACATGCGTTAGCTATTTATCCTGATGCTCTCCCTCCCTGTCCCCAACGACAGGCCCCAGTGTGTGTTGTTCCCCTCCCTGTGTCCCTGTGTTCTCATTATTCAGCTCCCACTTATGAGTGAGAATATGCGGTGTTTGGTCTTCTGTTCCTGTATTAGTTTGCTGAAGATGATGGCTTCCAGATTCATTCATATCCCTGCAAAAGACATGATCTCATTCCTTTTTATTGCTGCATAGTATTCCATGGTGTGTATGTACCACATTTTCTTTATCCAGTGTATCACTGACGGGCATTTGGATTGAGTCCATGTTTTTGCTATTATGAATAGTGCTGCTATAAACATACGCATGCATATATCTTTATAATAGAATGATTTACAGTCCTTTGGATATATACTCAGTAATGGGATTTCTGGGTCATATGGTCGTTCTGGTTCTAGATCCTTGCAGAATCGCCAAACTGTCTTCCACAATGATGGAACTAATTCACATTCCTGCCAACAGTGTAAAAGTGTTTATTTCTCCACAGCTTTGCCAGCATCTGTTGTTTCTTGACTTTTTTTTTTATTATACTTTAAGTTTTAGGGTACATGTGCACAACGTGCAGGTTTGTTACATATGTATACAAGTGCAATGTTGGTGTGCTGCACCCATTAACTCGTCATTTAGCATTAGGTATATCTCCTAATGCTATCCCTCTCACGTCCCCCCACCCGACAACAGTCCCCAGTGTGTAATGTTCCCCTTCCTGTGTACAAGTGTTCTCATTGTTCAATTCCCACCTCTAAGGGAGAACATGCGGTGTTTGGTTTTTTATCCTTGTGATAGTTTGCTGAGAATGATGGTTTCCAGCTTCACCCATGTCCCTACAAAGGATATGAACTCTTCATTTTTTATGGCTGCATAGTATTCCATGGTGTATATGTGCCACATTTTCTTAATCCAGTCTATCATTGTTGGATATTTGGGTTGGTTCCAAGTCTTCGCTATTGTAAATAGTGCTGCAATAAACATACGTGTGCTTGTGTCTTTATCACAGCAAGATTTATAATCCTTTGGGTATATACCCAGTAATGGGATGGCTGGGTCAAATGGTATTTCTAGTTCTAGATCCCAGAATCACCACACAGACTTCCACAATGGTTGAACTAGTTTACAGTCCCACCAACAGTGTAAAAGTTTTCCTATTTCTCCACATCTTCCCCAGCACCTGTTGTTTCCTGACTTTTTAATGATCACCATTCTAACTGATGTGAGATGATATCTCATTGTGGTTTTGATTTGCATTTCTCTGATGGCCAGTGATGATGAGCATTTTCTCATGTGTTTTTTGGCTGCATAAATGTTTTCTTTTGAGAAGTGTCTGTTCATATCCTTTGCCCACTTTTTGATGGGGTTGTTTGTTTTTTTCTTGTAAATTTGTTTGAGTTCATTGTAGATTCTGGATATTAGCCCTTTGTCAGATGAGTAGGTTGAGAAAATTTCCTCCCATTTTGTAGGTTGCCTATTCACTCTGATGGTAGTTACTTTTGCTGTGCAGAAGCTCTTTAGTTTAATTAGATCCCATTTGTCAATTTTGGCTTTTGTTGCCATTGGTTTTGGTGTTTTCGACATGAAGTCCTTGCCCATGCCTATGTCCTGAATGGTAATGCCTAGGTTTTCTTCTAGGGTTTTTATGGTATTAGGTGAAACGTTTAAGTCTTTAATCCATCATGAATTAATTTTTGTATAAGGTGTAAGGAAGGGATCCAGTTTCAGCTTTCTACACATGGCTAGCCAGTTTTCCCAGCACCATTTATTAAATAGGGAATCTTTCCCCATTGCTTGTTTTTCTCAGGTTTTATAAGATCAGATAGTTGTAGATACGTGGCATTATTTCTGAGGGCTCTGTTCTGTTCCATTGGTCTATATCTCTGTTTTGGTACCAGTATCATGCTGTTTTTGTTACTGTAGCCTTGTAGTATAGTTTGAAGCCAGGTAGCGTGATGCCTCCAGCTTTGTTCTTTTGGCTTAGGATTGATTTGGTGATGCGGGCTCTTTTTTGGTTCCATATGAACTTTAAAGTAGTTTTTCCAATTCTGTGTGGAAAGTCATTGGTAGCTTGATGGGGATGGCATTGAATCAATAAATTAATTGGGCAGTATGGGCATTTTCATGATATTGATTCTTCCTACCCATGAGCATGGAATGTTCCTCCATTTGTTTGTATCCTCTTTTGTTTCACTGAGCAGTGGTTTGTAGTTCTCCTTGAAGAGGTCCTTCACGTCCCTTTTAAGTTGGATTCCTAGTTATTTTATTCTCTTTGAAGCAGTTGTGAATGGGATTTCACTCATGATTTGGCTCTCTGTTTGTCTGTTATTGGTGTATAAGAATGCTTGTGATTTTTGCATATTGATTTTGTATCCTGATACTTTGCTGAAGTTGCTTATCAGCTTAAGGAGATTTTGGCTGAGACAATGGGGTTTTCTAGATATACAATCATGTCTTCTGCAAACAGGGACAATTTGACTTCCTCTTTTCCTAATTGAATAGACTTTATTTCCTTCACCTGCCTAATTGCCCTGGCCAGAACTTCCAATAATATGTTGAATAGGAGTGGTGAGAGAGGGCATCCCTGTCTTGTGCCAGTTTTCAAAGGGAATGCTTCCAGTTTTTGCCCATTCAGTATGATATTGGCTGTGGTTTTGTCATAGATAGCTCTTATTATTTTGAGATACATCCCATCAATACCTAATTTATTGAGAGTTTTTAGCATGAAGGGTTGTTGAATTTTGTCAAAGGCCTTTTCTGCATCTATTGAGATAATCATGTGGTTTTTGTGTTTGGTTCTGTTTATATGCTGGATCACATATATTAATTTGTGTATATTGAACCAGCCTTGCATCCCAGGGATGAATCCCACTTGATCATGGTGGATAAGCTTTTTGATGTGCTGCTGGATTCAGTTTGCCAGTATTTTATTGAATATTTTTGCATCAATGTTCATCAAGGATATTGGTCTAAAATTGTCTTTTTTTTGTTGGGTCTCTGCCAGGCTTTGGTATCAAGATGATTCTGGCCTCATAAAATGAGTTAGGGAGGATTCCCTCTTTTTCTATTGATTGGAATAGTTTCAGAATGAATGGTACCAGTTCCTCCTTGTAACTCTGGTAGAATTCGGCTGTGAATCCATCTGGTCCTAGACTCTTTTTGGTTGGTAAGCTATTGATTATTGCCACAATTTCAGAGCCTGTTATTGGTCTATTCAGAGATTCAACTTCTTCCTGGTTTAGTCTTGGGAGAGTGTATGTGTCGAGGAATGTATCCATTTCTTCTAGATTTTCTAGTTTATTTGCATAGAGGTGTGTGTAGTATTCTCTGATGGTAGTTTGTATTTCTATTGGATCGGTGGTGATATCCCCTTTATCATTTTTTATTGCATCTATTTGATTTTTCTCTCTTTTCTTCTTTATTAGTCTTGCTAGCAGTGTATCCATTTTGTTGATCCTTTCAAAAAACCAGCTCCTGAATTCATTAATTTTTTGAAGGGTTTTTTGTGTCTCTATTTCCTTCAGTTCTGCTCTGATTTTAGTTATTTCTTGCCTTCTGCTAGCTTTTGAATGTGTTTGCTCTTGCTTTTCTAATTCTTTTAATTGTGATGTTAAGGTGTCAATTTTGGATCTTTCCTGCTTTCTCTTGTGGGCATTTAGTGCTATAAATTTCCCTCTACACACTGCTTTGAATGTGTCCTAGAGATTCTGGTATGTTGTGTCTTTGTTCTCATTGGTTTCAAAGAACATCTTTATTTCTGCCTTCATTTTGTTATATACCCAGTAGTCATTCAGGAGCACGTTGTTCAGTTTCCATGTAGTTGAGCAGTTTTGAGTGAGTTTCTTAATCCTGAGGTCTAGTTTGATTACACTGTGGTCTGAGAGACAGTTTGTTATAATTTCTGTTCTTTTACATTTGCTGAGGAGAGCTTTACTTCCAAATATGTGGTCAATTTTGGAATAGGTGTGGTGTGGTGCTGAAAAAAATGTATATTCTGTTGATTTGGGGTGGAGAGTTCTGTAGATGTCTATTAGGTCCGCTTGGTGCAGAGCTGAGTTCAATTCCTGGGTATCCTTGTTAACTTTCAGTCTTGTTGATCTGTCTAATGTTGACAGTGCGGTGTTAAATTCTCCCCTTATTATTGTGTGGGTATCTAAGTCTCTTTGTAGGTCACTCAGGACTTGCCGTATGAATCTGGGTGCTCCTCTATTGGGTCCATATATATTTAGGATAGTTGGCTCTTCTTGTTGAATTGATCCCTTTAACATTATGTAACGGCCGTCTTTGTGTCTTTTGATCTTTCTTGGTTTAAAGTCTTTTTTATCAGAGACTAAGATTGCAACCCCTGACTTTTTTTGTTTTCCATTTGCTTGGTAGATCTTCCTTCATCCTTTTATTTTGAGCGTATGTCTGTCTCTGCACCTGAGATGGGTTTCCTGAATATAGCACACTGATGGGTCTTGACTCTTTATCCAATTTGCCATTCTGTGTCTTTTAATTTGAGCATTTAGTCTATTTATATTCAAAGTTAATATAGTTATGTGTGAATTTGGTCCTGTCATTATGATGTTAGCTGATTATTTGCTCGTTAGTTGATTCAGTTTCTTCCTAGCCTTGACGGTCTTTACATTTTGGCATAATTTTGCAGCGGCTGGTACCGGTTGTTCCTTTCCATGTTTAGTGCTTCCTTCAGGAGCTCTTTTAGGGCAGGCCTGGTGGTGATAAAATCTCTCAGCATTTTCTTGTCAGTAAGGTATTTTATTTCTCCTTCACGTATGAAGCTTAGTTTGGCTGGAAATGAAATTCTGAGTTGAAAATTCTTTTCTTTAAGAACGTTGAATATTGGCCCCCACTCTTTTCTGGCTTGTAGAGTTTCTGCCGAGAGATCCGCTGTTAGTCTGATGGGCTTCCCTTTGAGGGTAACCCGACATTTCTCTCTGTCTGCCCTGAACATTTTTTCCTGCATTTCAACTTTGGTGATTCTGACAATTATGTGTCTTGGAGTTACTCTTCTCGAGGCATTCTTTGTGGCGTTCTTTGTGGCATTCTCTGTATTTCCTGAATCTGAATGTTGGCCTGCCTTGCTAGATTGGGGAAGTTCTCCTGGATAATATCCTGCAGAGTGTTTTCCAACTTGGTTCCATTCTCCTCGTCACTGTCAGGTACACCAATCAGACGTAGATTTGTTCTTTTCACATAGTTCCATATTTCTTGTAGGCTTTTTTCGTTTCTTTTTCTTCTTTTTTCTCTAAACTTCCCTTCTCACTTCATTTCATTCATTTCATCTTCCATCACTGATACCCTTTCTTCCAGTTGATCACATCAGCTCCTGAGTCCTGCATTCTTCACATAGTTCTCGTGTCTTGGCTTTCAGCTCCATCAACTCCTTTAAGCACGTCTCTGTATTGGTTATTCTAGTTACACATTCGTCTAAATGTTTTTCAAAGTTTTTAACTTTTTTGCCTTCGGTTTGAATTTCCTCCTGTAGCTCAGAGTAGTTTGATCTTCTGAAGCCTTCTTCTCTCGACTCATCAAAGTCATTCTGTGTCCAGCTTTGTTCCATTGCTGGTGAGGAACTGCATTCCTTTGGAGTAGGAGTGGTGCTCTGCTTTTTAGAGTTTCCAGTTTTTCTGCTCTGTTTTTTCCCCATCTTTGTGGTTTTATCTACTTTTGGTCTTTGATGATGGTGACGTACAGATGGGGTTTTGGTGTGGATGTCCTTTCTGTTTGTTAGTTTTCCTTCTAAACATCAGGACCCTCAGCTGCAGGTCTGTTCGAGTTTGCTGGAGGTCCACTTCAGACCCTGTTTGCCTGGGTATCAGCAGTGGAGGCTGCAGAACAGCGGATATTGGTGTACTGCAAATGCTGCTGCCTGATCATTCCTGCGGAAGTTTGTCTCAGAGGAGTACCCAGCCGTGTGAGGTGTCAGTCCGCCCCTACTGGGGGGTGCCTCCCAGTTTGGCTATTCAGGAGTCAGGGACCCACTTAAGGAGGCAGTCTGCCCATTCTCAGACATCAAGCTGCATGCTGGGAGAACCACTACTCTCTTCATATCTGTGGGACAGGGACATTTAAGTCTGCAGAGGTTATAGCTGTCTTTTGCTTGTCTGTGCCCTGCCCCCATAGGTGGAGCCTACAGAGTCAGGCCGGCCTCCTTGAGCTGTGGTGGGCTCCTCCCAGTTCGAGCTTCCCACTTTGTTTACCTACTCAAGCCTGAACAATGGAGGGCGCCCCTCCCCCAGCCTCACTGTCACCTTGCAGTTTGATCTCAGACTGATGTGCTAGCAATGAGCGAGGCTCCGTGGGCGTAGGACCCTCTGGGCCAGGTGCGGGATGTAATCTCCTGGTGTGTCGTTTGTGAAGCCCATTGGAAAAGTGCAGTATTAGGGTGGGAGTGACCCGATTTTCCAGGTGCCTTCTGTTACGCCTTTCTTTGACTAGGAAAGGGAATTCCCTGACCCCTTGCACTTCCCGGGTGAGATGATGCCTCGCCCGGCTCATGCACCATGCACTGCACCCACTGTCCTGCACCCACTGTCCAGCACTCCCCAGTGAGATGAGCCTGGTACCTCAGTTGGAAATGCAGAAATCATCTGTCTTCTGTGTCACTCACGCTGGGAGCTGTAGACTGGAGCTGTTCCTATTTGGCCATCTTGGCTCCACCTAGTCTTCTGTTTTCTAGATTTTTTAGTACACTTCTGTTTTCTAGATTAAGACATTCCTATGGAAAATTTTTCTCTCATTTTTTTTTTTAAGCACATAAGACATCCTTAAAAAAATCCTGTTTTTTTTAAAAGATTTTCTACTTATCTTTGTTTTTTTAGTGATAAGTGGTTTGAAAGTGAACTGCATTCATATAGTTTTCTTCACATTTCTTGTGCTTGAGGTTATTTGAGATTCTTAAAACTGTGGGTTTATTGTTTTCATCAATTTTGTATTTTTTTCCTACTATTATTTCTTCAATTTTCTGGGGTTTTTTAGCTTTTGTTTTGTTTTGCTTTGTTTATTCTCCTTTGGGTATTCCAATAACATGTAAGTTATGCTACTAAAAGTTGTTCTACAGCTCACTGATTTTTTTTTTAATGTGTACTTTCTTTCTGTGATTTACGCTGGTTGGTTTCTACTGTGTTCGCAGGGTTGGCCTGGTGTGACTCTGTGGCTTTCTTGAGACATTTGAATAGTACCAAATTTTATTTAAAAATTTTAACCAACACACTATGTTTACTCATGTTTGAAGGAAAGCTCTTGGCTGTTCCTCTTTTTTCTGCCTCACTCTTACCAATGTAGATGACAGAGCCTTGCAGACTCATCTAAGCCTTGTAAGACTCCATACCACGTTTAAAAAAATCATAACTGCTTTTTTGGTTACATATTATAGAGTCATTATTTAATTCTGAATCTAGCTTTAATTTTTTGTTTAAAGCAGGAAATATTTTTTGTTCCCACTTAATGCTATTGAGTAGGGATATTTGTGTTGATGCTTACTTGAGGACTAATAATTATAGTTGGCCATGAAGCAAAAATCACATATTTCTAAATTACCCTTTCAAAAGATTCATTAAGTTGCCTGTAAATCACAATGTAGACCAAAGTATTTATGCAGTACTTTAGAGACTCTCAATAACGACAAATATCCAGGTTTCTCTAGTAGAAAAGAACAGTTGAGTACCAAATAGTTTGCATTTTATCATCTAACGTTCTTCAAAAATAAGATTTTAAGCATGATAATTACACTCAGAGCAGTGAGATGTTCATACTCTGAGAGGCATTTAGGATGTGAAAGTGAGAAAACAAGATTTTGTGAACATAGTCTTGGGATTACTCACTGTGTGTCTTTCAGCCACTTCCCCTCTCCCTCTCCTTTCATCACTTTCTTCTCCTTGATTTTGAGTTGATTTCTGTATATTTATAATGGAATTTCCCAATGTCATATTGTCTCAACAGCACATTATGAAACAAGTACTTTTAAATTTACATTCAAACACAGAGAAGTAGAAGTTCTTCTTTGAAAGTAGGGGTTCTTCTTTGAATGAACCCTACATTGCCTTTGGGGGGTGGTCATTATGTATAATTTTTAAAAATTGCTAACATCTGAAGCTAAAATTCATTTTTTTGTATTAAGTCTAATACTTTTT
Source organism: Homo sapiens (assembly GCF_000001405.40). Taxonomy (NCBI): domain Eukaryota; kingdom Metazoa; phylum Chordata; class Mammalia; order Primates; family Hominidae; genus Homo; species Homo sapiens. Next base: position 29,473,760 of record NC_000020.11, read on the forward strand.
TTAACTTAAGTGTAGATTTTTTTAAATGCTCCATAACGGTTTTATTTATACGATTTTTGTCACTGCAATTTGATTGCTTCATTCATTGCTTTCTTTGTAATACCATTTCTTTCAAATATCATGCTTTCATTGGTTTCATGAACAGATTTATACTTTAGAGTGTGAGCAAGGATGTTCTGTTAAATAAATGGGAAAATTAATCCTCCCGAATTTATATTGTCATGTGGAAGTGAAGAGTAGGTTTAATTTTGTAGCATTTCATCCAGCTTTGTCTCCATCCTTTGATACATGAACAAATTACATGAGTGAAGAACACCACTGTGTTTTCTTAAATAACTTTTCAACTTCAGTAAGTCATGCAAGGATCAAATGTGAGAGAAATAGAGAACCTCAGGATCAACTCAAGTACTTTTGGAAAAAGTACTGAAAAATGAGGTGGGGTAGTTTCAAAACTGACCTGCTCAGCATTGAAAGGATCTTGTTTCTTAAGGAAGCCATGGAGTTTTATCAGCTTAAAAATGAGTGGTTTGTAAAATGAAATTTTTTTTCTTTTAAACTTACTTTTGAAACTTCCATTCTTGTTCGTGGATTGTGGTTTGTTAGAACAGTGATTATTTAGTTTTTATGAGATGTTTCTTGTATTTTTATTTATTTTTTTTTAAGGCAGAGTCTTGCTCTGTCACCCAGGCTGGAGTACAGTGGCTCAATCTCAGTTCACTGCGACATCCACCTCCCAGGTTCAAGCGATTCTCCTGACTCAGCCTCCTGAGTAGCTGGGATTACAGGCACCTCCCACCACACCCAGCTAATTTTTGTATTTTTAGTAGAGATGAGGCTTCACCATGTTGGCCAGGCTTGTCTCAAACTCCTGACCTCAAGTGATCCACCCGCCTCAGCCTCCCAAAGTGCTAGGATTACAGGTGTGAGCCACCGTGCCCTGCCTGTTTCTTGTATTTGATGATGAAAATCTGTTATTAACAGGCACCGGGCCTGTTTCTTGTATTTTATCATGAAAATCTATTATTGACAGTAAGAGGATGGAGGCTCAGGTTAACAACAGGGTGTTAGAAAAGCAGCAGTAAAATTTTGATTCTCAAAACATTTGATGTCTTATTCCTTTTTTTGAACATAGGTTTTGCTAAAAAAGACCAGTCATTTTGAAACTTGATTTTACTGTCATGTTCTCATTTTGAAATTCATCTTATTGTTTGTACGAATTGGCAGACCTATGTGGGAAATGTCGGTTTTGCATATTTTCAGATTATTTTCATTTTTACATCAGAGATTTTGAACAGATGCTATACAAAAGTATTCATTTATTTATTCAACAAAATTTAGTGCTGGTTATGTTGCAAGCACTTAGTGAACTTCATGCTGTACGTGCCTGAGATACTTTCGTGAATGTAATGGCAACATCAAAAACTTTGCCCTTGTGCACCTTATAAACCTTTAATTTCAAGGCATGTTGATGAGTGGGCATCTGCTATAACATACTTTCATGGTCATTTAATTCACCATTATTTGGGTGTACCTTATATTAAAGCTGATTATTAAAAACTGGAAAATATTTAACACATCTTCATCTTGCCTTTTTCCTTAACATATGTAGATCAAGGGAGTCACTGAGAATCAATTTTAGGGATAGTTATAAAAATCTTAACTTTGCAACTATAACTTTGTCCTCAATGTAATAACTGGAAAAAATAATTTACATTTCAAAGGCTTTAATCTTTGTATTTTTTTGAAAAGGAGCCTTCACCGAGATTCTTTAAAAATTCTTGCTCTGTCCTATAGTAGAGACTGATAGACTCATGGATATTGTCCTCTAATGGATCTGTACCACCTCAGTTCTCTGATTGTCGCCCTCCCGTAGTGAAAATTAAAGCTTATTTTCATTTCATGTCTAGGATGTAGTATGTTCTTGTTGGGAAAAAAATGATGTTTCTTGAGAAATAAGTGCCTTCAGTATCACTGTGTGTCACTTAATAAATACGACAAATATCTACTTTTACCAATTGCTGCAATTTGATCCTTAAACAGCCGTCTTTAAATTGTACTTTTTCTTCGGTTAAAGAAAAGTAATTATAATAGACATTAATTATTTTTACATAATTTTATTATGTGGACAGCCATTCTTATAACTAAAACTTTCGGATGTTTATATTACAAGTACAATTATTATTTATTATTATTAATGTCAGTAGCCAAATGTAATCAACTCTCTTCCTTTTACTTCCTTTTTTGAATCAAAATATTACACTTATAGAAGCAAGAGCAACGGCTCTATATCTGGATCACTGCCGTGCCTAGAAGATACAACAGCACAATTTACAAATCCAAATTTCCAGGAAGTCTCTCCACATACCTCTAGTACAAAAGATGCTTCAGAGACTAGAGGGTCAGTGGGGAAAGAGAGAAAATATTCAACTCCTAGTTCAGGACAAAAGGGAAGAAAGCCGGCTGTTGAAAGAAATCCAAGAATGACTGTCGCAACTCGCTCCTTTCTGTAAAGTATTCATGGTGTTTTACTTAAAATATTTGCTCTTATGATGGTCAATAATATTAATAGTTATGCTTTGTAAAAGAATTTATTCTTTACTTATAATTAATGGATCATTCTAAGTTATTATATGTTTAGTTGCTATAGTAAGATGATGTGAAAGATTTGTTGCCTGTTAAATATTTCTGGGATCTTTGCTTTATTTTTATATTATGATTTGTGCTTCCAAAGTTGAGCTGTAATTTTATTGTTTATACAAATGTAGAATAAAGCTTAAGTTTGGGGAGAAAAATAAAAGCTAGAGTTTTCCTTTCAGCTATAGAACAGTCATTTATTTCTATAAATGCTTTTTTATGTAGCTTTCCTAGTTCCACATTTAAAAAGATAAATATGGGGATCTACACAGGTCTCAGTAAATAATATTTCTTGATTAATAATGCATTTAGTATAAAGCTTGAAGTTTAAAGTAGAATTTTGCTCAGCCTACATCTTTTATGGTCAGGCTGCTATAATTATGTAATACCCAGTTAAATTTCAATTTCAGATAAACAAGCAATAATATTTTAGTATAACCATGTCCCAAATATTACATGGGATATACTTACACTAAAAAAAGTATTTGTTTATCTGAAATTTCAAATTAACTGGGCATGCTATATTTTCTGTGGCAACCTGTTTTATAGAGAACAGTGTAAGTCAGCTAAATTTTAGAATACTTAACCCTAACATGGTGTTCTAGGTCTTTCCTTCTTGTAATTATTATTATTATTTGGAGTCAGGGTCGTGCTCCATCACCCAGGCTGGAGTGCAGTGGCACAATCACAATGCCCTGCAGCCTTGAGCTTCTGGGCTCAAGTGATTCTGGCACCTTTGCCTTTGCCTCCCAAGTAGCTAGTACCACAGGTACGTGGGCCCAGCTAATTTTATTTTTTTTTTCTCAGAGACAGGGTCTTAGACTGGTCTGGAAATCCTGGGCTCAAGCAATCCTCCCACCTCTGCCTTCACTTCCCAAATAGCTGAGACCACAGGCACAGGCCACCACCATACCCAGCTTATTTTTTATCAGGTTGGTGCAAGAGTAATTGCGGGGTTTGCCATTGAAAGTAACGGCAAAACCTGCAATTACTTTTTGTACCACCCTAATAATTTTTTGTGGAGACAGGGTCTTGCCCTGTTGTCTAGGCTGGTTTCCAACTCCTGGGCTCGAGTGACCCTCTTGCCTTGGCCTCTAAAAGTTCTGGGATTACAGACAGGAGCCACTGCACCAGGCTACTTTGTATAATTTTTAACATAAACATAAATATTTTGAGAAATAGATATGTTAAAACCATTGGAGGAAAATATATTGTAAAGTATACAATAGAAAAAAAAACAAAATACAACAAATACAACAAAAAATTATCAAAATTTTCAGAGGAACAAAACAAAATCTAGTTTTACAATCTTCAGAATTCAATCCCATTATAACAAATGTATAAAGAAACATATTCAAAGAAAAAGGCAATCAATAGAGACTGACCTCGAGATGACCCAGATGTTGGAATTAGTGTGGATTTTTAAAGTAGTTATTGTAATTCTTACTAAAATCAAAACCCCAAAAACCCTTAAAATAAATGGATAGGAAATCACAGCAGAGAAGAAGAAACTACAATAATAACAAAGGCTCAAGTGGAAATTCTAGAAGTGAGAACGTTTTCAAAATTAAAAAATAATAATCAGTTGTGTTCAGGAGCAGCTTGGAGGTGGTAAAGAGTCAATGAACCTTAAAATACAATTGAAATGATTCAATCTGAAAAATGTGAGCAGTCATAGGTTGGGGTGAGGGAGCTTTTCCTTTGGTTAGTGCTTTTAAGTAATCTTGGTTTTGATAAGATTACTAGACTGATCCGTCAGTGGCATGCTAAGCCAGAGTTTATCTTGGTTTCAGTAGTGCTTTAAACAAAACTCCTGATATCCTTGTGTACAAGATGGAAGAAGAGTGGACCAGATGACAATATTTAGATGAAGTCATTCTTAACCTCCGTTGTTCTCCCAGTGGTCTAGCTGCGGTTTGTATAAAGTGGAATGGGAGGAATAGGGAAGCAGTCCCCACCTACCCTCTCCCCTTGTCCACTTGTCCTCCTTCACTAGTGGATAAAGTCCACGGGAACAGGCAAGTTATTTTAAATCTGTATCTTCTGTTGTCAAGATCTGTAATCAGTTCTGCTCGCTGGACTGGGGACAGGAACCAAGGGAACATGAGGGTGAACGGGTTGGCATGGAGTCCAGGAACACACTGTGCCTACATGCAGAATGTTTGTGCCAGGAAAGCCAGTCGGCAGGCAGATGGTCTCAGATACCAAGCTAGTGTTGGGAAGCAAGAATCAGTCTCTTGAAGGTGGTGTTCCTCATTCTGTGGTTTCTATCACTTGCTTCAGAATGACCTGGAGTACTTATTAAAATGCAAATTTTGAGCCCAATCCTAGACCTCCTAAGCCTGAATCTCTACGGATGGGTCTCAGTAGTCAATATTGGAAACGTGCAGGTCCCTAGGAGATGCTTATGCATATAGATTTGAACTGTTGTGTTTAAGGGTTAGGGAGCTGGCAAAAGCAAGGAATAGACCAAGCCCTTGGGTGGGAAGACTCCATAACCTTGGCACTGTTAGCATTCTGGGTGGAACAGGATTCTGCCATATGCTTTGCAGCATCCCTAACCTCTACTCTCTAACACCGTATTCCAGTTGTGAAAACCAAAAATGTCCCCTGGGAGGCAAAATAGTCACCAGTTGGGAACTGGAACCACTGCTTTGTGGGATCAGAGTGGTTACTTTGTTCCCAATCCAAGGATCAGAACACAAGATGAGAGAAAGTCCAGCTATTGGAACTGGAGTGCCAAGTTGAAGCTAGATCTACAACAAAAGCTCCAAAAGCTCCTTTATAGGGCTGATTCCATGCCTCAGCTACCTAGCTTGTACAGATGCCATGTAACTCTAGATTTGGTGACAGAAGGAATTTAAAGGCTAGAACTAGATAGGGTCTTTCAGGTTAGGCCAGCACACAACGTGGACTTTTGACATCATCCAGATGCTTAAACCAATCTCACTCCTGAGGCAGAATTTCCCGTGGCATCTGATACACAGCCTGGCTTTGGAGCACTCACTGGGATTAGATGCCATGGGAATATTGTGTTTAGGAACTCTGAAAGAGACAGGCTTCAACAAAGCAGACCTAAGCAACACGTAGCGTCTGAACTTCTTTATCAGCTTCCATTCCAGGCCAGGAGGACAAAAGCATCACATACATATCCACTGTGGCAAATCTGTCCTCAGTAGGGAGTTTCCTCAGTACTACTCTCCCCTCTGTTCTGAGCCTACTTGCTCCTTTGTAATGTTTCCACTTTCTGATCCACTCCCTAATAGATGATTTGTCTTCTCTGCCCAGCCCCCTAGTTCTAATATTTGGATTGTCTGTGATCTGGGTAGTACTTAGGAGGTAGAATCAAAGCCTTGTTGATTGGATTGGGAGTTTCTAACTTCCTATTAAAGGCACTGATTAAGCATCTATTGTATAAAGTAAAGTAAGATTATGATCCAGTAAGAAAGTTTCCACAAGTAGCGCAGGAAGAATTGGTTTCTAGTGCACTTCATGCTTCAGGACAGGAAACCCAGAAAATAATTCTGTGGTACGTTAAGTGTGTACTGTAAGTTTCATTTCCATGTGAAAAACTGTAGTTAGCTAAAAAGTACATCCATGAAGAATCCTGATTAAACTTGTTTAATCCTGGTTAAACTAGCTACTAGCTAAACAATAATTTCACAACAACTCAAGAACTCTGTAAAAGCATTTCCTCCGAATATTTTATTCAGAAAAAAACACAAAAAGATAAGGCAGAAACAAAAATCCCAGTCATTTGCTGTATCTGTTGGCTTTCAATTTGGCCCTCTTGTTTAAACAAAGAAAAATAGTAAAATTAATCTATGTAAAACATACCATATATATTCAACTGCTACTAAATATAAAAAGCTTTAAAACTGTGTGTTCAATTTTGGTTACTGTATTACCACAACACTTATATTAAAATATGTATACTTTTAAATTTGGTTGCTATAAAAAATGGATTCTAATCCTATAAAAGTTATTTCCTAATATTCAATAAATGTTGCCTAAGGGCTTTTTCAATCCAAATAGCAATTTTAATTATTCCGGAATTTAAGGGTGCTCTAAATTTCCATTTAACAGGGTGAGAATGCTGTATTATTACAAGTGAGAAAAGTTACAGGACATGGAGCTTATTCCGTTTTAGAGTCCATATCCTGATTATATTTTATATCCTCTTCTTGATTTCTTACAACTAGATACATATTCATTTGCTCAGCTGGAAAAAATTTGTAACATTTACTGACTTTACGTATGAACTCTACCAGCTAGTTAACAGGAAATATGTAATTAAACATTGCCTTTATCAAGTAATGTAAAAAAAGGGTAAGAGTAACTTTGCAACATAGGACTTGAATGAGCGACTGGTGATGATCAAAATCTGGCACTTAATTGATTTATACTTGTACACTCACAGCTAAACGTCTCTACCTGTTTTTCTATGGTGTAAATCTAGGACATTACTTATCTACATAGGAAGAGTAATAAATATTAATAATGTGCTATGATAAACATCCTGCACTCTTCCAAATCTTACAATAAAACTGCTTCAATTTCACTTGTTTAGCTTTTATATTTAGTTTGTTAGTTGATATATGCTTATTTTAAAGAACCTGAACTACTCTAACAGAATCCACATAATTTTTATATTAGCCAAACTGCTTCTTTCTAACTCTGGTTCTAATAGTTATAAAAAGATAATGATAAATTTATGAAGTAGATACAGTCAAACCTGAATTTCTTAAAGTATATACTTAGAATTGGTTATAATTTTTAGATATTCTTTGTTGATGGTCTTTTCCCAAACTCATGATGTCCTCTCTAGGTAATATTGCCACACTCATAAATTATAAATAAAGACAAAAATGTGAAAACTACAGTAATTTAAGAGAATATAGGTTTTCTACATGCCATTTCTATTGGCTACTGAAAATAGTGAAAATAAGTAAATAAATAGCTACCTGTCCAGAAGCGTCTCATGCAAAAATCCATCTTTCTGAGCTTTTTTAAGAATTTTACTGTCTTCTTTACTTATTTTAAGTTTGTGGTCTTGGAAGCTCTGAAATTTCTTTCTGCAAAGAAAATGTCTTCATTGAAAAATACCTCAAACTCTGATTATACATATTTACTATTAAATTTATAAATACTGTTAATTTCTTTTTCACTTATTAAAAAAGTCTAATTGTAGGCCAGGTGCAGTGGCTCACACCTGTCATCCCAGCACTTTGGGAGGCCAAGGCAGGCAGATCACTCGAGGTCAGGAGTTCGAGAACAGCCTGGTCAACATGGTGAAACCCAGTCTCTACTAAAAATACAAAAATTAGCCGAGCGTAGTGGCGTGTGCCAATAGTCCCAGCTACTTGGGAGGCTGAGGCAGGGGAATCACATGAACCTGGGAGGCGGAGGTTGTGATGAGCCAAGATCGTGGCACTGCACTCCAGTCTGGGGGACAGAGCGAGACTCCGTCTTGGGGGAGAAAAAAAAAGTCTAATTGTATTTTTTTTAATAAGCTGAAGCATTTGAACAACAAAGATGACCCTCGTGACCTCTCAAGAGGAGGGCCACTCATTGACTGGGTAGCACAAGGCCCTACTTCTATTAGGGCATGCTGGCTGGAGTCCTCTGTGTCCTGGCCATAGCACAGCCTTTGACTGGCATCATGCCCATTCCATGAACGAATAGAGAGATTGACTAACCCCAGTGACTAGCTTTGGGAGCTGGTAGGATGATTAGGAAAACTGAACCCTCAAGAAAAGAAAAGCATTTAGCTCAGTGCTCTGTCCCAGAGGCTACATTGTGTTGCCTCTTTTGTCCATCAGTTTTCATTTTTTCAGACAGGGTCTTGCTCTGTCACTCAGGCTGGAATGCAGTGGTGATCAGAGCTCACTGCAGCCTTGAACTCCTGGGCTCAAACAATCCTCCTGTCTCAGCCTCCCGAGTAGCTGGGCCTACAGGCATGCACCACCATCCCCAGCTAATTAGGTGATTTATTTTGAAAGCACTTTGAGAAGCACTTCACTGTCAAATCTGTAGGTCTAAAAGGAAAAGCATACATACACATAATTGATTTCACATTGTTTTACATTTCCTTTGTCTTCTTCTTGAATGTCATCTTTTTTCGTGGTTTCTCTTTCAGCACAGGATCTAATCTAGATATTGGAAAAGAGAATCCAATGGGTTATATGTTTATCTTCCACCTTCCCCACTTTACGTATCACATAAGAATATTCGAGATGATTTCTTATGCAGAAGAAAAAATTAACTGAGCAACTATATTCAGAAAAAGACAGGTTCTGGCTATGTGTTTTTACTTCATATATATAATCTATATGAGTAAGTGTTATCACATGCTTCCTCTGCAGCCCTTGTGTCAGAAACACTACAGACAAAATTATTTCAGAAACATTTTACACATCAGATCCTGCTAGGCTATAAAGCAATCATTAATTTAATTTTGTCCTCCAAGTGAATACACTAGGATCAAATTATCCCTAGTAGACAAGTGTTCATTTGATCAGATTGAAAGCTTAATAGCTATTTTACATTGCACAGACTATTACCAAAGTATTAAAATTCTTAACATTACACAACTTGTTTTTAATTAATTGGAACCCACCTCTTTTACTAGCTTCTTATATCCTCCTAAGTTTGGATAGCTGTTTACTATCACATGTCATAAGTTAATTGATCTGCATTCAACAATTAGGATTGCCCACAGAACAGGCAATTGGCAATGGTAAGGACTCATGTCTCCTAAGGGATCTCTGTGGCCAGAGTCCAGTTCCAGGGCTGCTTAGACAGTGATGACAAATAACGTGTTTGTGCCAATGACATCTTTGTGACAGTTTTGATTAGAGGGGTCCCAGACCTGAAAACATTCCCTGCTAGGGCCTGTAGCACAATGCTACCTTTAGTAAGAGGGATGTGTGTTCTGGTAGACAAGGCAAGGTCATAAAGATGAAGGGCTGACAGAGATTAGGAGAGCTTGCAATTAAATGGTACGAAAAGTGTCCTAAATAATCACTGTTCAGAGCTTCCAAGTACTTGACTAACCAAAGAGACCCAGAAAACTTGGTATTTCATCTGAAAATTTCTTTAAATAGTGAAAAACGCAATCTTTGTGTAAGTATCTTTGTATCTTTGTATAAGTGCAAAGCACTGCACATATATTTGCAATTGTTGCCTTCAATAACACTTTTGTGATGATATCCAGATGAAAAATAATTTAAACATGATACAATAAAATATAAATAAGTAAAATTAAATGTAAGTCACAAACCCATCTGCATTTCCTCAATGACCTGTTTCCTGAGAAGCAATGTGCTATGAAATACTGAGAGTGGCCTCTGGAGTCAGCTGGGCCTGGGTACACATCCTGTCTTACCACACCTTGAAATCACTGTGATTTCCATGAACTGACTGACAAAAACCACGAGGATGTAAGGAGGGTCAGAGGCTGTCTTCCTGTCTGTAAGGCTGAGCTCATATCCACCTCACAGGATCATTATGGAAATTCAAGACTACAACTCATATGCCGGATGCATGCAACGAAAAAATATAACATTTCACTTCTCTAACTGTAATAAAATACCTACATTTTAGATTGAAATTGTTTGAGCTTTGGATTTGAAATTATCTGAAATCAAGACTATTCTAAGAAGAAAATCAAACATATGACCAGAAATCTAACATGAAGCACATACAGAGAATTGATAGATGCTTTTAAATTACACTGGTAGTAGAGAAAAATGTAACATAAATTTTTATGCTCTAATTATAAGAACGAAGGGCATTTTAGAAAAGGCATTTGCCCCCTCTCTTAGAGCCTTCCACTCTGGCCCCCACAATGCCTTACAGAGCAAATCTGGGTCAGACTGGATGCAACCTGTGATTCCCAACAGAGACAAACAAAGCAAGGTTCAGGATGCTCAGTACTGCGATGAAATGCCAAGACACAGAAAAGCCATGTGTCAAGAAGGTGGGAGTTATTCTTTAGACACATCCTGGTATATGTTTATCATTAAAGATCAGTGGCTTTTGTGAGTCTAAAAAATTAAGCCTTAAATGTTTTCATCAAATTCCAGTTAACTACCTGATTTATCTAGCTTATATTAACAATGTTATTTAGAATTTCACCTTGATATGAAGATGTCTGTGTAACTATTACAAAGATGTAAAACAAAGAGTAGGATTAGGGAGGGCACAGGCCACTGGTGCAATGGATAACACATCTGACTATGGATGAGGGAATTTAGCCTGGAATAAGGAACTTTTATTTCCAGCTTAGTGATGCACACAAATTTTCAAAATAAAATAAAAATCATGTTTTATGTGATTCATGTTTCTCCTAATGCAAAGGAGGACAGGTACTATTAATAAAAATATTTTTAAAATGTAAGGGCTAAGGCCCCAGAAGTTCTGCTATGATTTTTTATGTTTCATAGAGTGATTATCATCACAGAACCTCAAGCATTACGTAAATACAAATGCGTATACCCCAACCTGGTAATTCTGCTTCTGGAAATTTTTCTTCAGGTCCACCCGCACATCTGCAAATTGATGCATATTCAATGGTATGTATTGCAGCACTGTTTATAAGAGCAAAAGACTGGAAACAGCCTAAATTTCCATCTATAAAAGACTAAATAAATTAAGGTATAGCCCTAAACTGGAATATTATGTGGCTGTTAAAAAAAAGAGAGAGAGAGGAAAAGCAAGAAAAAGAGAAAATTTTCTACATTCAAACTAATAGTAGAAAACTCTCCAAGATACAATTTTAAGGAAAAAAAATCAAAGTCAAGAAGACTATAGAGGAGGCTGCCTTTAGTGTAAAACAGTTGAAAATTATAAATATATTCATATGTTTATAAAGAAATTTTAGGAGGCTATAAAAAAACAAAACAAAGGGAAAGAGGAACAGGAGCTGGGACACAGGTGAGTAAGGTGTATGGTAGGCATATGTCTTCATCTTCATATACTTTTATTTAAAAATGTTGGACCACGTGTACATGTTATCTATTTTAAAAATTAGATTTTAAAATACAAACAAGAAAACAAGAAAATGAAAGTTTAAAAAGAGCATGTGGAACTACCAGAAAAAGATACTAATCCATGGAGATAATGGCAAGGTAGCTCCTAGATGCACTGATTTCTCTACCACATTGTATAAACAAGCCATCAACTATGGGATTTGTAATTAAAAATGAGTCTACTTGAAGCACCACATTATAAAAACTATTAACTAAATCTTTAAAGTGACAGTAAATGATGACTTAACATTTTAAAGAGATACAGTCACATCGCATGTGTGAATGCAGTCATCTGTATAAAATGTCATCATTATCTTCATCATTTCTTCTTCTGCTGTTTTACTTTTTGCTTCTATGTCGCCTGCTTCATTGCATCTAATAAAGCAGCTATTTGAGGCCAACAAAGCCATTTTCCCCCAAGTGAAACAAAATAACAAAATAGCCATGAGGATACTTCTTGTAGAAGAAACATTAGGTGTTTAGACTGAATTAATTTTTCCTCCCTGATTTAAAAATCACAGAGAAGAACTTAGAGAAAAACCTGAAAAATATAATACAAGAACATATAGAAAAGGAAACCAAAATCACCTTTCATTTTACTATTCAAAGATTACCACAATAAACATTTGTAGCGTATCTTCCTAGTAGGACTAAATTCTAATTAGATGAGGTAGGATTGCTTCCTTTCTAAAAGATCTACTGAAGATAAAACTGATTTAGTTCTGTTTGAAAAATTAACTTTAAAGACAAGAACATAATTATGAATGCATACTTTATTCAAATATTAGCATTTTAAGTAAAATTTATTTTCTTCACAATTAGAAAACATGAAAAGGTATATACAATGCCTTTGGTGTTTTGAATTTAAGAATCAATGTTTGAGGGACTTTTGTGTGTGAAAATAAATATTCATATACATTTTTAGTTGTTTAATGTTTGATGTATTACACTGCTTTCTATTAAACAAAACTTTAAAAACTGATTTTCTTGTGTATCTAAATCTGGGTTGTAAATTTGTTTAGCTTAACTCCTGTAACAAATATAATATTTATTTATAACTTGTATTTGGTTGATTCTTTTGGAAAACTTGGAATACCATAACATTTAGACAAAATATTTATAAATACAATGATTACAAAATATGTTAACCTTATATCACATCCAGTTAAAAATGTGCTGATAACATGGATTTCTTAGTCAAGTCACAAGAGCTGGGTGGTCTCTCATCTGGATGGCTCCTGGTGAGCCCTGGAACATGGCGGTGTGGTCCAAGGTGATTTAAACCTGTGCCACAGATTATTCAGCTAAGTCCTTTTTGCAATACAGTTTTAAGACCGTCTTTCATTTAAATTTAAATTTTTGAAACTTAGTGTCCTTCCTAAAAATAAAATGAAATGAACTTTCCTAAAGTGTTGTATTATTAGTACTATCTAAGTCATCATCCTGGCCTTATGAAATATTGGCATTTTCTACTGGTGTAACTTTTATTAGAAGCATCTCATCATAACTAGTAGGATCATCTCAAAGGGGTTGCAACACATTAGCAGGTAATGAAATCAATGTAGTGTTTCCTGAACGGTATTGGATGGGTGGGGGGGGAAAGGAATACACACAGACACACAGAGGAAGGGGTAAAAGAGAATAAGAGATATCAAAGTGCATAACACATGGATAAGTAAGTATTGTTAAGTACAACTCTTGCTTCAGTTACACATATGTGTGTGCTGGGCTGCAATGTAAAAATGCATTTCTCAATGGATTGGGTCAAAATAGTTTTCAAGTCACTGACTTAAGATTTTATCCTAGGGGATGAGGAAATTAGTCTAAGTGATTACCTCTTTCTGGTGGGATGTTTGTTTAATCTGTCATCTTAGAAAACACTGCTGAGTTCCTACTTTCAGTTCATTAATGTATACTACCAAAGCTGCTACTCAAAGGCTGAGCTTATCTTCTATTTGCTTGTTCTGCGTGGTGCCCACTGGTCCTTACTGCTTTTGATATAGTTATCTACTTTTTAAAGACAGTTTAGCACTCACATATTTTTGTTCAATCTTTACTTCTCACACAAACAGAAAAAGGAAATTATGTATTCTGTATCAACAAAGATTTAACAAAACATCCATGTACTACAACTGTCTACTTACTAAAATCAAGAATTAGTATCTTTTTTCTTCTTATATTAAAACTGTCTTTTCATACGCTATTTTTAGCTTATGAACTGAAAGTCTTTTAGAGATAATTTACTTCAATGAACTATTATTATTTATATTTTATAAGCAAATTGTCACAACTTGGTCTTAGCTAGCTCCAACGTTCACTTACAGTCTGTAATGTTTCTGAAAGCATCCATGATTTCAGCTACAAAGAAGATACTTAGGAACTATTCTGTTTTCCCACTCTGTGATCTAAAATTGACTGGTTCTTCAATGGAAATGAGATCCATAACTAGGCACTAAGGGTATACAGAAATAATTGTGGGCAAAAGTACTAATGCTATTTTTGTTGCACTATATTTTGAGATCTCTTTAAGGCTCTATGTTCTTACTGATTTATTCCAATTTAATATGTTATACTATTGCATCCTACTTTTTCTTTTTAAATACATTATGATTGACTGTTACAGACTTTCTGTTAAACTGACAGGAAGTTTTTATAAACAATAACAGCACTTACATTTTGAAAGACTTGTTCCCATTGTTCTTTTGGTCCAATTGCATCTGAACACCCAACAACAAGTTCATCTGAATTTATACCAAGATATTTTCCATAGCCAGAATTCAGGGCGATTCTGTATATTAATAAGACACATAAAAGTTAAAAACTGAGAGAAAATTAATTATAGAACATCAAAACAGGACATGTGTATGTGTGTGGGTGTGTACATATGTAAAATTTCAGACTGGACATATTCCAAGTGTTCAAAAGATGCATGTGGCTGAGTGGTGACTCGCTCCTGTAATCTCTGTGCTTTGGGAAGGCAATGGGAGAATTGCTTGAGGCAAGAAGTTCAAGATCAGCCTTGACAACATAGTGAGAACCCATCTCTACAAAACATTTAAAAAGTTAGCTGGGCTTGGTGGTGTGCACATGTAATACCACCTACTTGGGGAGGCTGATGCAGGAGGAGTGCTTGAGCCCAGAAATTTGAGGTTATATTGAGCTATGATCACACCACTGCCCTCCAGCCTGGGTGACAGAGTGAGACCCTGTGCCTTAAAAAAAAAAAAAAAAAAAAAGCTACATATGACTAGTTGTTGCCATATTGGACAGTGTAGCTTTAAATTTAGTTTTATATTTTGCTTTTTTAATATAAACATTGTACCTTATATATTACATAACAAATATTTTCAAAATTCATCATTCTTCAATTATACCTCTTTAGTTATAAACTTCAATAATAAATTACTAAAACTTTATGTCATCAGTTTTCCAGAAAATACTGCTTCCATTTACATTCTTACCTCAAATTAACAGAGTATGTTTTGTATCATGGACTTTTTTTTTAAACATTATGACTCTAAAAAAATACTTGAAAACCTGATATGGAAAAAAACAGTATCCTATTACTTTGCATTTTAGTAGTTAACTAGAATAACAATTGTTTCTCTTTTCCTTTCCTTTTTAGTTTTTAGATTATCTGGTAATGTTCCTTGTCCATTTTTCTATTCAGATCTGATTGTTTGCAATTTTTTTACTGGGGTCTTCAGTGCTATGAACTCTATACAAGATACATATGAAGTGTAAGAACTCACTGCCTATTAAGATTGTTGCAAATATTTTCCTCATTTGTCAGTTAATTTTCTTTATAATCCTTTTTTGTTTATAATTGTAAAGCAGTTTAAAACTATTGAATTTTTTCTTCCTCTGCTTCTATTCTTTGTCTTTTACCCTACTTATCAGACTTCCAAAGAAAGTATAGAAATAATCATCTTAATGTGATTTTTTAAAATTATGATTTCTTTTACCTTACCAAGAATCTCCTCAGATGCCAGAATTGACTTTTAGTCCTTTATACGTTAATGATTATATAACAGAAATCATTATCATGTCAATGTAACCAATTACTAAAATATGCAAATTCACTTTCAGTATCTTTTACCCAAAGAATCATTCCATACTTCTGCACAAGGTGAGAATAAAAAAGGGTACTTTATAAAATGACTGTAAAAATACTGAGTAAAAATATTCTTTTGGTCGTTATGATGCTGTAACTTTCTCTGCTGGTTTCAACAATATTCCTTTTTTTAGTCTTCCTGTTTGTCTTTAGACTTCCAAACAGTGAGTTTAAATATCATAGCAACAGTGAACCAGGTTTTGTACTATTTATTTTTTAATCTATCTTATTTGGTGTGTGAAATTATTAGTCTTCATTTTTTAACTTACAAATCTTTTTACCAGCCTAGCATTATATATTGATAGGAAATCCACTAAAAGTAGATCACAAAATCTACTTTTCAAAAAAGCTATTTTGTTTTTTATATCAAAATTACCGTGGGCTTAAGACAGATACTAAAATTTTTAATGAATACAATTAAATTTTTAAAATAACTGGTTACTAATTATATTACAACTTAAGCTCACCTGGAATCAGATAATTTGACAGCCATAAACTGCTCTGTTGCACTAGGGCCCTCATCAACTATTGGAGAAAAAACATTTGAAAATAAATTTGACATTTGCTATAAATATAAAGACATTATTTTGCTTTAAAAAATGTGGTTATTTTCTTCTGCAATTAAATGTAAGAATATTCAGATATACTGATGTCACTGTAATACTGTTCTTTGGAATCAAGTTCTATTTTACCTTCTTTTAACTACAGTGCTAATTTTATACACTGAGTAAGACAGGGTGATATAATGCTTATTTAATAACTTTCAATATAGTTTCTCTTTATGTTTTAAAATACAGTCATAAATAAGCACTTATTTAAAAAAGCTAAATGCTTTCATTTATTCAATGGATGGCCTTGCTGACCAAATGATACTGCTTTTTATCTTCTAATTACTTTGTATCTCATTAGTGCTTCTTCTAATGAGCTAAAGAAAATTAGGAAGCTTCAAATTGTTAAATGCACCCAGGTTAGTTTTGGTAATAGGTCTGAATAAAACAGAAATTCAAACATATTTGACTCAAATAGGTTTTCTTTTTTCTTTCCACTTACTATTTTAATTATTCATATTGTTTTGATTTCCAAAGATACTCTTCTGGAACTATACGGAATGTTTTCAAATGCTTATATTAGAAAAAGGGACTTGCCAATTGCTGGTAAATATTAAGGAATTTAAAAAAAATGGAAGAGTCAAATGCAACGGTTCCATTCCTTTGGAAAACGTTTGAGACTAGTTAAGAGTTTGGCCTAAGTGAATGAATGTCCTAAAATCTACACTTGTGGCAGGATCTTCCCTTCCAGAGGCAAACCTTCACTGTGTGGAGCTCCCAGGGTAAAAAGACCACTGTCGAGTGCATGTATATAGGTTCCCTCATCCATTTCAAAGGCTATGGTTCCTGGAATTTCACCAAAGTTTGTTAATGTCCACCAGATTCCTAAAAAATAAAATTGATATTTCAACTTCATATTTTAGTTTTGACAGAGAGTTCTTTGTTATTATAACTTAGTTTAAAAAACTTTTTATTTTGCAGTCATAAGAAATAATACGAAGATCTCACATACCCTTTACTCACTGTCTCAATGATGACATCTTGCATAAGTATCATACATTGTTAGAATCAGGAAACTGACATTGATATAATCCATGAAGCTTATTCAGATTTCACCAGTTTTACATGTACTTGTTTGCATGTATGTGCACAGATTCATGTGACTACCAGCACAGTCAGGATTAGGTTTTTAAAATACAAAATAAGCAACATACAGCCAGGCATGAGGGTGAATGTCTGTAATCCCAGCTACTCGGGGAGCTGTGAAAGAGGATCACTTGAGCCCAGGAATTCAAGATTACAGTGAGCTATGATCACACCACTGCACTCTAGCCTGAGTGACAGAGCAAGGTCCTGTCTCAAAAAAAAGACCAAAACAAAACAAAAGGCAACATGTGAAGGTACAAATTGATATATGGAGAATGGCCTCTCTCATGATAGACCCCAGCCATCTATTCATGCCTGCTTTCCAGAGGCAATGCCTATCATAATGCTTCTTAAAATTGCCTCTACAGGAAGACTTTCTAGCATAGTAATTTTTTTTTTTTTTTCTTTTTGAGACGGAGTCTCACTCTGTCGCCCAGGCTGGAGTGCAGTGATGCGATCTTGGCTCACTGCGACCTCCGCCTCCTGGGTTCAAACAATTCTTTTCCTCAGCTTCCCGAGTAGCTGGGGTTACAAGAGCCTACCACCATGCCTGAATAATTTTTTTTTTTTTGTATTTTTAGTAGAAACGGGGTTTCACCACATTGGCCAGGCTGGCCTTGAACTCCTGACCTCGTGATCCACCCGCCTCTGCCTCCCAAAGTGCTGGGATTACAGGTGTGAACCACCGCACCCAGCCAGTAATCTTAACTGTGATTTTAGATTGAAAGCAAAATGAGCAGAATCTATGCCTATGTATACTAATTTCCAATTTGCCAATAGAAATGTTAGACTCTAGCAACAATTATTTTAGCAGTTTTTATAAAAGTTTCTATCTTAATGTTAAAAAATATCCTCAAACCTCCTCCTAAATTGTACTTTAACTAGAGTAGAAATGAGTCAATCATTAACTGGATATGACATATTAAGGAATTCTTGTTAATTTTACAAGGTCTGATAATGACACAGTATAATGTATAAAAGTAAAGAACAAAACATGTGATGAGAGAAAGACATACCACGTTAAGAAATGTATATTTACATACTTATGGGTAAAATGATGTAATATCTGTGATTTTACTTAAAATTTTCTAGGAAAAAATGTGTGTGGGGGTGTGTATGTAAATGAAACGAGCTTGGCAAAATATTGATAATTAATGCTGGGGCCTGGGCACATGGGGGACTTATTATATTGTATGGATTATATTGTATGGATTATATTGTATATTGTATGGATTTTATTGTATGGATTAGTTTGGATATTTCCATAATAAAAAGGTTTTAAGGATTCAGTTAATTCCACCGCACAAAATTTTCTATTCAACTAAACATTTCATCCTTTTCATTATCAATTTTAAAATACATAAAATTTTAGCTAAAATGAAGTTGGACCCTTATATAACACTAAATACAAAAAGTAACTTAAAATAGACCAAAGACCTAAATGTAAGAGCTAAAGTTAGAAAACTTTTAGGAGAAAATGGGAAAAGCTTCACAACAATGAATTTGGCAATGATTTCTTATATAGAACATCAAAGGCACAGGCAACAAAAGAAAACACGGACAAACTGGACTTCATCAGAATTAAAAACTTTTGTGCATCAAGAACCACTGTCAACAGAATAAAAGGCAACCCAGAGAATGGAGAAAATATTTGTAAACTACATACATGATACGGAATTAATATCCAGACTATATAGAGAACTCCAAAAAGATAAATACCACAATTCAAAACTGGGCAAAGGATATACACGGACACTGCTCCAAAGATGATATACAAATGGCCAATAAGCACTCGAAAAGACGCTCAACATCACTAATCACTAGGGAAATATAAATCAAAACCATAATGCAATACCACTTCACACCCATTAGAATGCTATTATCAAAACAAACAAAAAACAGAAACAAAGAAAACCAGAAAAACAAATGTTGGGCAGGATGTGGAGAAACTGAAACCCTGTGCAATGCTGGTGGGAAGGTAAAATGGTGCATGTATTTAAATGCCACTGAAGTGTACACGTAAAAATAGAAAAACTGGCAAATTCTATATTCTGTATATTTTACCTCCACACACACACAAAACCAATGGAGAAAAAGAAAATTAATCAAAATTAAAATTTCAGCTAAAGACGATTAGAAAGCAATAAAACTAATGACGATTTAGATGATTGAGTTATAGCTACAATTGTTTTCAGTAAAAGAAATAATGCTTTATTCAAAATCATTATGAACAGTGTTATGATTAGCAAGTCTTTCTTATAAATGTAATAGTTAATAATTTTAAATTAGTTTTATTTTGTATGTTCTATGCCACGTTCACCAAGTACACTTAATATTAAATAAAATAATTTAAATATAATAACTCATTAATGTTTTGCAAATGAAGAAGAAATTTCTGGGAGACAAGCTCCTCAAAATTTTCACCAATGAAATGTTTAGTTGAACAGAAAATTTTGTGCAGTGGAATTAACAGAATCCTTAAAACCTTTTATTATGGAAATATCCAAACTAATCCATACAATATAATCCATACAATATACAATCATACCGATCTTACACAGCTATTTCCAAAAACAGGGAAGGAGACAGCCCTTCCCATCTAATTTTATGACACCTAATATCACCTTGACACCAAAACCAAATAAAGACATTACAAGAAAAGGATACAAAAGTCCAATATCTCCCATCAACACCAATATAGAAATCTTAAAAAAAAAAAAAAAAAAGCTGTCCATCCAAAAACTACCATTAAGAAACTGAAAAGGTAAAACTCAGACTTGGAGAAAAGACTGATAACTCCATCGACTCTTGGCAACGATGTAACTGGAGAACTAATTCATTGTTGGTGGGAGAGTAAAATGGCACAACCACTTTAGAAAACTTTTGGCAGTTTCTTATATAGTTAAACATTCACCTATCCTTTGACACAGCAATTCCACATCTACATATCTACCCTAGATATTTACGCTAATTTTAGAATTATTGATTTGCCATTTCAAAAGTAATGATTCTTCCAGAACATTAGCTTTATACCATTCCATATTTTATATATTTTTTAAGCTACCATAAATTATGAAGATTCAAAATGCAATTTGCCAAGTTTTAAAAGAGAAAAAAAGTACGGAAACAACTAAGTGGAAAACAGGCTGGTTAAGTGTGTTTGGGTCAGTTTATTTCTAGTATCATTTACAGGCTACCCTGATATTGTATTTAAAATTTTCATTCATTTCAGAGTTCACAAAATGATGATTTTTCCTGTGAAGATACTTCGTTTAAGAGACAACTGACTTCTACAACTAAAATGTATACATGTTCAAAGAAAATAACTTGTAAAATATATTTGGTTGAATAACATTTACATTAAGCCTTTAAAATTATGTATCAGAATCTCTGGCTATTAAGCAGTCTAATGGTGCCTACTAAGTCAGAGAGTTGTAATTCTTCTCTCCTGTGCTCTGTTCTGATAATGAAGTAAAGGGATCAGTAGCATCTACTGTGCTAAAGAATAAATGGAATTTACAACTGTAGGTAATATTTAAGCACTTTAAGACAAATATGAATACATCATAAATTTCTAACTAGGAAAATATTTTCAATGAGATCTCAGGAAATGTTAACTTTTTTCAGAATAAAGCACTGAAAACTGACTCACCAACATATCAAACTGGGTTTCTTCATCTTCTTCTCTTTTTCTCTTCTTATCTTTCCTCGTTTTCTTCTTACTACAGGACATTATTTATACAGATGAGTTTAGGTATATTGATTTGTGTGATAAATAAATATCGTAAGATTGAAACTTGGAAGTCTTTTAAGCTGCTTCATTTATAAAGTATTGATTTAGGAAGACTTACATTGCTATGCCCTCTTAAATACAGTACTGAGAAGTTGCTTCAGGCTTTGTACATATTATGTTAAAGTTCAAAGCAGATTGTAGAGCCACACTGCCAGATTTTAAATCCTGATTCTGTCACTTCTTAGCTCTGTGATTTTTGGAAAAGGTACTGAATCTCTCTGGGAGTCAGTTTCCCCACTTAAAAAATTAAGATAATAACTCTTAAGGCTATTGTGAGGATTAAGAGGTAATATGTATCTTCACGCATTGCTGGTGGAAATGTAAAATGGTGCAACATCTACAGGAAATAGTTTGGGGTTCCTCAAAAAGTTAAAGACTTACCATATGACCCAGCAATTTTACTCCTAAGTATGTATACCCAAGGGAAATGAAAACATACACCCACAAAAATACTTACGTAAGACTATTCACACTAGCATTAGTCACAATAGTCAAAAAGGGGAAACAACCTAAATGTTCATCAACTGATGAATGGATGAACAAAATGTTACATCCATACAATGGAATACTACATAGCCATAAAAAGGAACAAGTGGTACAACAATGATGGACCTCAAGAATGTTATAAGTGAAAGAAGACTGATACAAAAGGTCACATGTTGCATGATTTCTTAGGAAATATTCAGAATAGGCAATTTCACATAGATAGCAGACTAGTGGTTGCCAAGGACTAGGAGAGAGGGAGGATGGGATGTGACTGCTTTAATGGGTAGGAAGAGATTTCCTTCTGAGATGACGAAAATGTTGAGCAACTAGACAGTGGTGAACCTCTTGAATATGTACTAAAAACCACTGACTGTACAAAAGGGTGAATTTCATAATTATGAATTACATCGCAATAAAAAAATAAAAACCCAGGAGCGATTTGAAAAAAGTTAATGTGCAAAGTGCCTACAACAATTTCTTGGCGCATTGAAAGTGCTATATAAGCATTAATTATGATTATTACGATAATCTTAAGACACTCTTGTCTCCATTTTCATCATAAAGTTTTCAGAAGATAACTCACCACTCCTCACAGGAAATTCACAGAGTAAAAATCTCACATTCATTCAGGATATACCTGCCATTTATTCTGGCATCTTCATGAGGCCAGACTCCTCGAGAGGGTTCTCAAGGGCAGTGGCTTCAGCTCACTCCTTGATACTTTCTTTCCATCTCGCCTAACAATATCAAAACCTCTGTTTATCACGGAGACCAGGAGGAAATGCTCAATATTTGTATGTACAGTCAACCTCAGGCAAATCTGCCAGTTAAAAAAGAAGCGGGGATATGAATGCACAGGTATTTTTCTCCTAAAGAGCTAATAAATTACCACTACGACCTCCTCCTCACATTTGGCTCAATTTATTTACTGCATATACGTTCTCTAATTTAATCCTCACAGTCTTCTAAAGGTATAAAAAATGGTCTGAAAGTATAAATGTGTAAACGGAGGTTTAAAGATACTTGATCTCTTAATGAGTAAATGGAAGTTCAGACATATTAACCAATTTGCCACAAATTACAAAATTAGTAAATGACGGAGTGCAGGTTCCAGCCCATATCCCTATCAAAGCCTATATACACCTCAACCACTGTGTGATTCATCCTGGTTTCACTCTACATACTAGCTTAGAAAAAAATAATCAATAATTTTTCCAGGAAGAGACAATGGAGAAAAGAATAATCCCTAGTAAAGGAAGTTATTATCATGAACTACAAGATCAGACAAACGCAGACCCACCAGGCAGAGGCCGGGAGAGATGCCTCAGCGGACCCAAACTCGTGGGTACGGGGCCACGGGTCACCCGCCCATCTATCCTGTTAACAGGGTCGTCCGCGCGGGAGGCTGCCCCTCTCTGCACAGGCGCCAGGAACCGCGGTCCAGCCTCCGTCCAGCCCAGACAGGGTCAGGGCGAAACCTGGGAGGCCGCGAAACCTGGGAGGCCACGAAGCCTGCTCTCCGCACCACGGCTTCCACCGGATTCGCGGGGGTGGAGTGCATCCGAAAAGAACTGAGGAGGCTCCCGCTGGAGCTGCAGGACCCAGCTCTTCGCCTTGGTTCCCTTGAGCACAAGCTTGGTAGACTTCACATAAGAGTACTAGGCCATGGCTCCGGGAGACTTCTGTGCGGAGAGGCTGAAGCCGGCTCAGGACGAGTGTGTGACCTGGAGCAGCACCAGGGCGGGGAGGAAAAGAAGTTGAGGCAAAGTAAACACTCCCTGACAGCGTAAGTCTGTCCAGAACCCGCCTTCGTCTTTACCCAAACGCTGAATGGCTGAGATTTCCACTTCCGGGTTTCTGCCAGGGAGCTACCGCGGCCGCAGAGGGCCGAAAGGTGTCCGCACGCATCTGCTCCCTCGTTTCCTCTCGAGGAGCCCCTGAGGATTTGTGCCTCCCAGAAGTGGGGAAAGCTCGCCCAAGGCGCCGGTGCTGACGGTGGCGGGACTGCCGGGCTCGCTGTGGAACCGCCTCCCGCTAGAGCTGCGGGCTGGTGACGGTCCCCGCGGGGGCGGGAAGCGGCTTAGGCTGCCCTCGCCGGCCTGCGGCGGCGAGTCTGGAAGCGCGGTCCACTCGTGCGCGGGTCACTCGGGGCTGTGCCTCGCGCGACTGTGTGTGCAGGAAACAAGCAGGAAATACCCTAAAATAGAATGAAGTGCCATGTTGAGGGCCGCGGACGTCGCGAGTGCTGTGGGAATGTGGGCTAAGGTGGAGAGTTATGGTGGCGCGTGTTACAGGCTCAGGGGTCAGGAAGAAGCCTAATCGTGGAGGCGGCATCTGAGGAGGGTCTTGAACGCTGGGCAGGCTTTTGCCCGATAGAGATGGAGGAAGCTAGTCCTGTCTGCTGGAGGAAACAGGGCAGAGGCGAGGAGGGAGCCGTGCAGCGCTGGTGTGAGGAGCCGCGAGCAGGCCAGGCCTGTAAAGCAGAGTGATGGGAACCAGGATAGAGAAGGCAAATCGGAGTCCTGTGGTCGCTGAAGAATTTGAATGAAATCAGTAAACAGGTGACAGGGATCCATCGCAAGAGCATGGGATGAAACGAGGAGTAGTCCACGGTGATTCCTCCGCAGCGATGGGTATTATTAATCGCTTATGTGACACCAAAACGGTGGGTATTATTGATAACGTATGTGACACCAAAACCACCCCACTCAAGTTGTGGCTCTTTCCCTAAAGTAGAAAACAGAGACCAGTTGGGTTCCAAGCATCCACGAAGATCTTACTAAATTTGTGATCCCCAGTGGCACCATGGAGTCAGGATTGGCTCATCTCAAACCTGACTCAGAAACAAAACCATCTCAATGTGCAGAGATTAGCGTCCTTACCCGCTATCATATTTTCTGGTGTTTTCACAGTGCTGCGCTTCCTAATCCCCATTCCACCACAATCCACATGCCATGATGCCCAGAGGCATTAACAAAGGAGACACACAGGGGCTCCTCACGTTGGCTTTCCATGGTTTTGATGAAAATCTGTTTCCTCATCTCATACAATGTGGTTAGTAATAGTATCATTTAGAGTTGAAGAATTAAATGGTACGAATTATATAGGGTGCTTATTATAACCTACATGGAAAATGCCTAGGATATGTTAGCTATGCTCATCACCAACATCGTTATATGATGGTAATAATCAGATAGTTAGGAAGGGCGACGCCAAGAAAATGGATACATGCTCTGAGGGAATGAATGTGGAGAGATCAGAAGGTCAAGAACAAAGCCGTACAACATGTCTGCAGTAAAGGGATAGAGAAAAGAAAGGCTATAAAAGAAGGAATGAAACAAAGTTAGAGTAAAATTATAAAATCAAAGCTAAGGACAATTTCCAGAAAGGGTAATATCATTTAATATCATAGAAGTTTAGGAGCACAAGATGGAAAAATGGCCTGTGGGTAACTGACATTGAGGCGGTCTTTAGGGAAACTCCATTTCCGATAGAGAAGTAGACAGAAAGTCAGCTTGAAGCAGGGACTAGGTGAAGAAGCTGTTGGCTGGTCGCATGGGGAAATAAATAAGGGATCGCATATGCCATATTTCTGGGTTTCTTTCTTTCTTGCCCAGCCTCTATATATGCCTAGAGTTTGGCGAAAACTTACAAAAAATAAAAATGAAACCAATTTCGTTTGTAGACTCAAATACAATGCTTTGTGTTAGAATCAAGATAAATTCATGCCTCTTCCTTCTATTGTCACCATCAGTTTTGAAATTAAACATGAGCTTTTCTTCTTCATTAAAATCATTTTCAACTCCTTCCAGGTGTTGGTGGTTTGGGGCGTTACATAAGCAGTCAGGTCTTGATGAGTAGAGGAGGAGGGAACAAACACTTTCAGCAAAGAGAGAATTCTGAAATTCTGCTCATATTTTTCTCCAGTAACTTTCCTATGTTTGTGAGGATGTTCAGTCATAAAGATCCTAGTGAAATTTTTTTCAAGCTTGACTAATCTTAATCACTGTGGACGTTTGTTTAAAATGTGTATTCCCAGGCCTCACACCTGCTGATTCTGATTCAGGAGATCACGGATGGGACTCAGAATACATGTGTTTGAGAAGTACCACAAGTGGTTCTTATGGTCAGGCAAATTTGGGAATCTAACCAGAAATTTATGTTTTTATGACTGGCAGCTAGAAAAGATTCCTAGAGTCTTTGCTTTTTGAAAATAAAATATTTCTTTTTTAAAAGGAAAATTGTATGACTAGATACAACATTTATACATGTGGCACATGTACTATACTGTGTGCTTTTGTCATATTTACAGTTAAAGATGTGTAAGAACACTCTGAGAAAAATTATATATTAAATGCAAAGAGGGGTAAGTCAGGGTGGGGGAGAAATGGGAAGGGTGTGCTTATTGTTGCTAAAAGGTAGAAAAGCCAGAATGATAGCCATCTAAGGTTGCAAATAGCACATTGTAAGTTGAGGGAGCTTCACAATCATGTCTGAAACCTTCTTTGATATACTGAGTTGTAAACAGTGGCTTTGGACAAGATTTGAGGGAGAAACAAACCATGCTTTAAAGTGTTCATTTAAAAGGCTTTAATTAAAGGAAAGTCTTTGTATTTACTTGAGCTAATTTAACTTCAGGACTTTAACAAATTACTAGCCCTTAACCTCTTAAAAATTGTCTTTCATTTCAAATGAAAGTTTAAGATGGCCTTTGTGTTGGATTGGTATACTTGTGCGAGGACTTAACAGCAAGTACTGTACATTTCTAAATGTTTACTTCTTAATTTTGCTGGAAGAAATATACTACTCAATTAACTATTTTTAAAGCAAAGTAAAACAATTTATTTTGACAAGTGACATTGTATTTTCCTAGTTTTCAGGTGGCAGAGATTAGGCTTAACATCACTAATCATGAGAGAAATGCAAATCAAAACCAAAATGAGATACTATCCTATACCAGTCAGAATAGCTACTATTAAAAAATCGAAAAACAACAGATCTTGGGAGGCTGTGGAGAAAAGGGAACATTTACACATAATTGGTGCGAATGTAAATTAGTTCAGCCACTGTTGAAAGCAGTTTGAAAATTTCTCAAAGAATTGAAAATAGAATTACCTTTCAAGCCAACAATTCCATTACTGTTTTATGACCCAAATAAAGTCAGTTATTCTACCAAAAACACATACGCACTTGCATGTTCATTGCAGCACTATTCACAATAGCAAAGACATGGAGTCAGCCTAGGTGCCCATCAACGGTGGATTTGATCAATAAAATGTGGCACATCCACACAGTATTATTAGGCCATTCTTGCATTGCTATGAAGAAATACTTGAGACTGGGTAACTTATAAGGAAAAGAGATTTAATTGGCTCATAGCTCTGCAGGCTGTACAGGAAGCATGGTGACAGCATCTGATGGCACCTGTGGAGTCTCCAGGGAGCTTTTACTCATGATGGAAGGTGAAGAGGGAGTAGGCTCATCACATGGCCAGAGCAGGAGCAAGAGAGAATGGGAGTGGGGGTAAGTACCACACACCCTTACACAACCAGATCTTGAAAGAATTCGCTATCACAAGGACGGTATCAGGTAATGAGAGATCCACCCCCATGACCCAAACACCTCCTACCAGGCCCCACCTCCAACACTGAGGATTACATTTCACCATGAGATTTATAGGGGCCACCTTCCAAACGATTTCACACACCATGGAATACTATGCAGCCATAAATTAACAAAATCATGTCCTTTGAAGCAACATGGATGTAGCTGAAGGCCATTATCCTAAGTAAATCAATGCAGGAATACAAAACAAAATACCACATGATCTCACTTATAAGTGGGAGATAAACACTGGGTACTTATGGACATAAAGATGGAAAGAATAAACACCAGGACTACTAGAGGGGAGAAGGAGGAAGGCAAGGTTTGACAAACTAACTATTGGGTACTATGCTCATGTATTAATCTGTTCTCACACTGCTATATAGAACTACCCGAGACTGGGTAATTCATAAAGAAAAGAGGTTTAACTGACTCATAGTTCCACAGGCTGTACAGGAAGTATGGCTGGGAGGCTTCAGGAAACTTATAATCATGGCAGAAGGTGAAGGGGGAAGCAAGGCACGTTCTACCATGGTGGCAGGAGAGCAAGTGAGCCGGGGGGATGTGTCATATGTTTAAACCATCAGATCTCATGAGAACTCACTTACCATCTAAGAACAGCAAGGGGGAAGTCTGCTATCATGAGCTAATCACCTCCCACCAGGTCATTCCCCCTACATTGGGAATTATAATTCAACATGAGATTTGGGTGGGGACACAGAGTCAAACCATACCAAATCAGCATCTGGATGATGGGATCATTCATACCCCAAAACTCAGCATTATGAGATATACCCATGTAACAAACTGGCACATGTACCCCTGAATGTAAAATACAAGTTAAAATTATTTTCAAAATAAGTTAATTAATGAATAAATAAATATGATTAAATAAAATTAAAATTTTGAATTAAAAAATTTGAGAGTGATTTCAGTTTGACAGTTATGTAAGTTATGTAAATGGAAACAGTGAGTTCTGTAGGGTTTGGATCAATTGCACTATCTGTACTAAGTTCATGTCCAGTTGTTTGGATGAAAAGAAAATAGGAGAAACATATAGATCTAACAGGAAAAAAATGGACAAGTTTTTATGATAGCAAAAAGAAGAAGGGAGGAAATAGGACTGAGGTTATAGTGATTGATAGATATTAATAGACGACTAAGTCAAAAGCCACTGGTTGCAGAAAATATTGATTAATTCTGTTTCATTCCAGTCAGACAACAAAATCTTATAACCTGCCTCTAGAGAAAACCCTTTTAGCCCTGTAATTATCTTTATTCCAAGCACCATTCCATTCATTAAGTAGTGTATAGGGTGATTAATAAGTGAATTATTCACAGAATTAGGACAGAATTTTTGAGTATTTCAGGATATTAATACTATAATCAATGAACTAAAATAAAATTTGACTAGAGGTGTGATCGCCATGAATGCCATGTTGGTATCTTGTTAGATTTGGCAACCTAAAGTTGACAAATTTATTAATAAAATAAACGTTCCTTGATGATTAATTTACATTTAGTAAACATGCTCTTTCTTCTTCCTTCCCTTTCTTATTCATTCATTCATTCATTCCTACAGAGCAGAGACTTTCATTCTAAGATTCCCAGAATCCTAAGAATTCTTGAATGTCATCATAGGGAGCCAGGTGTGAGGATTCCCAAACGTTGTATTTAATACTTGAAAAATCTCAAAAAGTTATATATTTATTTACACCAGAAAAAGCTATACAGGTTTTAAGTTATATATATATAGTTGAATACTTTTTATTTCTATCCAGAACTAAGTCATTAGAGTTAATAATGTTGATTATTTCATACTGACCTGGTGGGTAGCCTTTATATATCATTGATTACTTATTAGTAAAGTAAGAACCCCCCCAAAATTACAAAATAAATATATTTTGTGGGGTTTTCTTAAGGCTTTTGAAACATAAAATCAGAGGAGAGGATTAAAAGTAATCCTTGATTGTTAAAAAGGCAGGGAACTACTAACTTAGAAAATTGTATGAAAACAGCAAGATATATACATGGCCCTCAGACCAGCTGCCTGTTTTAATAAAGTTTTATTGGAGCACATCCATGGATCTATGGTGCTTTCCTGCTACAATGGTAGAGTTGAATGGTTGCTATAGAAACCGTATGGTTCGCAAAGCCTAAAATATTTATCATCTGGTCCTTTATAGCAAAAGTGAACCCAGTTTTAGAACATTCACTTTACAAATTAGGATACAGTGGATGCTGCCTCAACTGACCTCCACTTAACTGATCTGCAATCAGCACTTTCTGGTACCCCTGTACAACTTATTGACTGATGTCCACTGTAAACTGAAAGCTTTTGAGCTACTTTTAATGCCTGTACATTTCTCCTTCCATCACAGAAATTGTATAGTTTCTAAGAGGAAGCTGTGTTGATTCCTAAATATGTTTACACCATTTGTTCTTGTTCTTGTAGCTATGCGATTTAATTAAATATTATGTTGAGAGGCTGAGACGGGTGAATCACTAGGTCAGGAGATCGAGACCATCCTGGCTAACTCGGTGAAACCCCGTCTCCACTGAAAATACAAAAAAATTAGTTGTGCCTGGTGGCGGGTGCCTGTACACCCAGCTACTGGGGAGGCTGAGGCGGGACAATGGCATGAATCCAGGAGACGGAGCTTGCAGTGTGCAGAGATCGCACCACTGCACTCCAGCCTGGGTGACAGATTGAGACTCTGTCTGAAAATAAATAAATAAATAAATATTATGTAAACTGAGAAAATGAGTATAACAAGAGTAATATTGTTGTTTCTTTGAGAAATAAACTAAATGTGTTGGAAAAATGAGAAACTCAAACAGTTGCTGTCAGCTTAACTGTTGGCAAGACAACTAGAAACAACTGGGAAAAATTGTGTAATCTAGGATTTCAGATTGCTTTACCCCAGTTGTCTTTACAGAAAGTGAACAAGAAATCCATGACAACGTATCATTGGCATAGTTTCCACAAGAAACTCCACTCTGAACCCGTGCAAGGCTTTGACCTTGTCATCAAAATTCTGGCAAACTTATTTACACATGTCTTTTAAATTAAAGTTAAGTTTTAAGGACTTACATCTAATACTTCTTATGATTCCTCCATCTAACTTAAATTTGTGATTAATCTGTTTATTACTGGGCCCAATCTGATTGAATAAGGGGGTTTCTACCGTTTTTGCTAACCAAAAGTTTAATTTGACAAAGATGGAATTATAAATACAATAATTCCAGTTTAAAGAATTAGAATGGTAAAGGTTAATACAATTTAGTATGCCTAAAAATCACTTGAAAAGTTACTAACAATGTAAATTCTTGTGCCTTAGGCCTGAGATTTTGATTCAATAGGTCTAGCATGGGACATAGGAATCTGGATTTTTAGGAATGATAAAGGAAAATTGCTTAAAATAGGGTAGGTTATGACTTACAAATATAAAATGAACACTTGTCTAAGATTTTTAACTCATTTATTTAATGAGGGAGCCAGTAAGATATTATACTAAGTTTTATGGAAAATTAAGAGCCACACATATCTAGGCACTAAGGAACACTGAAATAAATTTGCTTGATAGGTTCAAAACTGACTTCTTGATGGTAGCTGGAAAAAGGAAAATTAATTATACTTCCACCAAAATCAATCATTTGCCTGTCTATAGACAAGAATATTTGCATTACTATCAGTAATCTACAACTAACAGAATTGCAAATAACAAAGAAAACAAAAGGCACAGAGACTCCATAGAAACAGATAACCCAGGTTATTCTAGACAAGGATGAGATTTCCATTAAAGACACTCAGTGGTAATTTCGTTGGTCCATCTTAAAATCTTTCCATTTTCTCCTGAAACAAATTGCTCAAGCAATTCAAATACAATGAATGTGGTCAGTGGGTCACACCTGGAGAAATCATTTTCTAACCTGTAATCAAGACTGTTGAATTACTCCCTTCACTGGAAAGAATAAAATATTACCACATAAATTCGTATTATGATAATGGCCCACTATGAATGCTTTGGTGTTCTTAATTTTCTTAAGATTTATTAATATTTCTGAAGTAACTACTAAATGCCAAGCAATATATTTTCTAATTTAATCTTTCATTGACTTTTACTTTCACTTCAATTGAGCTACTCATTTTCACGGCTATAAACTTAACTTTTCAATAACTTAAAAATTGATTTCTAATGTTATAAACTTTAATGTTCCACTCTGTGACATGCTCTTTCAGACTCTCTCTTCCTTACTGCCAACTCACCTTCTCTTCTATTTCTTCCAGTGCCCCAGTATCTTGACTCTTCCATTTTCTTTTTTCTTTTCTTTTATTAAGTGGATACATGATAATTTCACATGTTGATGTGGCACAATGTGGTATTTTGATACATGACACATTGTTAAAACCTCTCCTCCCTATCTTTCCCAGTCTGGTAACCACTCTTCTACTCTCTATTAGATCAGTGTTTTTAGATTTCACATATGAATGAGATCATGTGATATTTGTCTTACCGTGGTTAGCTTATTTCACTTACCACAATGTCGTCTATGCTCATTCATGTTGTCACAAGTGACACGATTTTACCCTTTATTATGACCAAATGTGCATATGATATAGTTTGGATATTTGTCCTGACCCATATCTCATGTTATATTGCAATCCCCACTGTTAGAGATTGGGCCTGGTAGGGGGTGTTTGGGTCATGGAGGTGGATCCCTCATGGCTTGGTGCTATCCTCATGATAGTGAACGAGTTCCCAAGCTTCCTGACTAGTCAAACAGATGTTGGCATTATGCTTCCTGTACAGCCCATGGAACCAGGAGCCAATTATGTCTCTTTTCTTTTAAATTATCCAATCTCAGGTATTTCTTTATAGTAATGCAAGAATGACCAAATACAGCATATATGCCACATTTTCTTTCTCCATTCATTCATTGATGGACACTTAGGTTGATTCTAGGCTATTGTGAATAGTGCTGTAATTAACATGAGAGTCCAGAAATCTCTTTGACATACTGATTTAATATTCTTTGAATATATACCCAGTAGTGGGATTGTTGGATTTTGTGATAAGTCTATTTTTAATGTTTTTGGAAGTTATATTGTTTTCCATAACAATTGCTCTAATTTACATTTCCACCAACAGTGTATGAAAATTCCCCTTTCTTCACATCCTTGCCAGCATTTGTTATTTTTTGACTTTTTCATAAAAACCATTCTAAGCAGGGTGAGATGATATCTCACTGTGGATTTGACTTGCATTTCTCTGACTATTAGTGATGATGAGCATTTTTTCATTTACCTGTTGGTGATTTTTTTTGTCTTGTTTGGAGAAATGTCTATTCAGCTGTCTTGACTATTTTCTAATCCAATTATTTGTATTTTTGCTATTGAGTTGTTTGAGTTTTCTATAAATTTGGGGTATTAACCCCTTATGAAGTGAATAGTTTGCAGATATTTTCTCCCATTTTGTAGGTTGTGTCTTCACTCTTGTGATTGTTTCCTATGCAGTGCAGAAGTTTTTATTTGGTATAATCCCATTTGTTTATTTTTGCTTTTGTTGTGCATGTCTTTCGATGTCTTTTCTAAAAAGTCCTTGCCCAGACCAATGACATATAACATTTCACCTAAGTTTTCTCCTACTAGTTTCATAGTTTGGGGTCTTACCTTTAAATATTTAATTTATTTTGTGTTGATTTTTGTATATGATGAGAGATAGGGGTCTACTTTCATTCTTTTGTATGTGGATATGCACTTTCCCAGCACCATTTGTTGAAAAGACTGTCTTTTCCCAAAATTGAATGTTTGCATCTTTGTCAAAAATAAGTTGCATGTAAATATGTGGTTTTATGCCTGGGTTCTCTATTTTTGTTCCACTGGTCTATGTGCCTGTTTTTATGCCAATACCATGCTGTTTTAGTTAAGATAGCTTTGTAATATATTTTGAAATTAGATAGTGTAATACGTCTAGTGTTGCTCTTTTTGCTTAAGATTTATTTTGCTATTTGGGGTGTTTTGTAGTTTCACATGAATTTTAAGATTTTTTTAACATCTGTGAAGAATGAAATTGGAAATTTGATAGAGATTATATTGGATTTATAGATTGATTTTCATAGTATGGTCATTTCAACAATATTAATTCTTCTAGTCCATGAACATGGGATATCTTTCTATTTATTTTAATTTTTTAATTGTTTTTATCAATGTTTAATAATTTTCATCTTTCCGTGGCTTAATTTACTTGTAGGTATTTTGTTTTTTTAATAGCTATTTTAAATGGGATTACTTTCTTGATTCCTTTTTCAGATAGTCTGCTATTGGTGTATAGAAATGTTACTGATTTTTTATGTTGCTTTTGTATCCTGAAACCTTATTTTATTCATTTACTATTTCTGATTCTCAGTGGTGTATTTAGGGTTTTTTTACATATATGATCATGTCATCTGCAAAGAGGGACAATTTGACTTTTTTTTTTTTCCAATTTGGATGCCTTTTATTTCTTTCTCTTACCTAATTGTTCTGACTAGGACTTCCATTACTATGTTGAAAAAAGTGATTAAAGTGAACATCCTTGTCTTGTTTCAGATCCTAGAGGCAAAGCTTTCAAGTTTTCACCATTCAATATAATGTTGCCTGTGGGTTATCACATATGGTCTTTATTTTATTATGTTCTTTTATAACTAATTTGTTAAAAGGTTTGATCATAAAAGGATGTCTAATTTTGTCAAATGCTTTTTCTGCATCTATTGAAACGATTATATGTATTTTATCCTTCATTGTTTAATGTGATGTATCAGATTTTATTGATTTACATGTATTAGACTATCCTTACCTCCCCGGGTAAATACCATTTGATTATGGTGGATAATCTTTTTAATGTGCTTTTGAAATATCATTGCTAGAACTGCTGGTTTTGAATGTTTGCATCTATGTTTATCAATGATATTGGCCTGGAGTTTTCTTTTATTTGCTGTTCTTATCTCATTTTGGAATCAGGAAATGCTGTCTTCATAGAATGACTTTGGAAGAGTTCCCTCCTTTTCATTTTTTTGAAATAGTTTGTAAATAATTTGTATAAATTTTTTAAATGTTTTGTAGAATTTGTCAGGGAAAACCACCAAGTCGTGAACTTTTCTTTCTTCCTCTATTTCTTTAGAGACAGGGTCTCACTCTATCACTGAGGCTGGCATACAGTGGTGCAGTCATAGCTGACTGCAGCCTCAAACTTCTGGTCTTAAGTGATCCTCCTGCCTCAGCCTCCTGAGTACAAATACACACCACTATACCTGGATAATTTTTATTTTTATTTTTAGAGATGGAGTCTCGTTGTGTTGCCAAGGCTAATCTTGAGCTCCTGGCCTCTAGTGATTCTCCTGCCTTGGGCTCCTAAACCGTGAGATTACAGATGTGAGCTACTGTGTGAAGTCTTTTGGATTTTCCTTGACTGAGAGCCTAAATTGCTCCTTCAATCTCATTATTTGTCATTGGTGTGTTCACATTTTCTATTTCTTCTTTCTTCAATTTTGATAGGTTATATGTGTCCAGAGCATACGTATTTCTTCTAAGTTTTTCAATTTATTGGCGTATAATTGTTTGTAGTACTTACTCATGATTCCTTATATTTCTCTAGAGTCTATCATAGTATATCCTTTTTCATCTCTGATTATATGTGAATTTTCTCTTTTTTTCTTAGTCTGACAAAACATTTGTCAATTTTACGTTTTCAAAAAAGATTCCTCCATTTAATTAGTCGTTTGTATTTTTTGTCTTCATTTTGTATTTTTGTGCTCTGATCTTTATATTCTTTTGCTAATTTGGGTCTTAGTTTGTTCTTGATTTTATAGTTCCTTGAAATACATTGTTAGATGGTTTATTCATTATCTTTCTTCTTTATTGATGTAGAAATGTATTGCTATAAACTTCCCTCTAAGGACTGTTTTGCTGTATTTCATAAGTTTTCATATGTTCTGATTTCATTTTTATTTGTCTTCAGACATTTTTGAAATTAATTTTTTATTGACCCATTGGTTGTTTAAGGATATGTTGTTTAATTTGTATGTATTTGCACAATTTCTGAAGTTCCTCCTGTTGTTTATTTCTAGCTTTATTCCATATGGTTAAAAAAACACGTGATATGATTTGATTTTTTGATTAGCTAAGACTTGTTTTGTGGTCTAACATATCTATCATGGACAATATTCCATGTGCAGGTGAAAAGACAGTGAATTATGCAATTGTTGGATGAAATGTTATGTAAATAACTGTTGAATTCTTTTGATCTAGAGTGCAGTTTAAATGTTTCTTTGTTGAGATTCTCTCTCAATGATCTGTTCATTGCTGAAAATGGGATGTCGAAGTTTCTTACCATTATTGTACAGTTTTTTATCTCTCCTTTTAGATCTATTAATGTTTGCTTTATATATTTAAGTTCTCCAATGTTGAGTGCAGTATATATTTACAATTATTGTATTCTCTTGTTGTACTGACCCCTTTATTATTACATAATGGCCTTGTTTGTCTGTGTTTACAGTTTTTTTACTTGAAGTCTATTTTATTTGATATAAATATAACTACTTCTGCATTCTTTGGTTTCCATTATCATAAAATATATTTTTTCATCTGATCACTTTCAATTTATGTGTGTATTTACAGGTGATGGGAGTCTCTTGTAGAAAGAATATAGTTAGGTCTTGTTTTTAATCAATTTACCCATTCTCTGTCTTCTTACTGGATAGTTTAATCTATTTCCATTCAAGGTAATTATTGATAGATAAGGACTTGTACTGCCATATGCTGTTTTCTTGTTGTCTTTTAGAAGTTTTGTACCTTTTTGTCCCTTTGTTGTCTTCCTTTGTACTTAAGTGATTTTCTCTGTGTGTTTTTGTTTCTTGTTCTTTTATTTTTAGTGTATCTAATAAAAATGTTTGCCTTTTGGTTACTATGAGGCATGTGAAGAATATTTTATAGTTTCAATAGATAATTTTGAATGGATAACAACTTAATTTTGATAATAAGAAATGGGGAAAAGCAAACACTCTGCTCTTTAATTCAATCACTCCCCCACATTTTGCATTTTTGATGTCTTAATTTACATCATTTATATCACTTATCCCTTAACAAATTATTGTAGTTGTTATTGTTTTTGTTTTGTATTTTAACCTTCTTACTAAAAACATGTAAGTGGTTTACATTCAGTTATTACTATATTAGAGCATGCTGAATTTGTCTGAATATTTATTTTTACCTGCGGATTTATACCTTCCAATTTTTTGTATTACATATTAGTGACCTTTTCTTTCAGTTTGAAGACTGTTCTTTAACATTTCTTTTAAGGCAGGTATGGTTACAATGAATTCCTTCATCTTTTGTTTGTCTTAGAATGTTTTAACCTCTCCTTCATTTCTAAATGAGAGCTGTGCTGGATACTGTATTCATGCTTGACAGATTTTTTCTTCAGCACTTGATTCTATTATCCTACTCTCTGCTGGCCCATATTGTTTCTGCTGTGAAGTCTGCTGCCAGGCCTATTGGAATTCTCTCATGTATTATACGCTTCCTTTTTCTTAATGCTTTCAGGACCTACTCTTTGTTTTTGACGTTTAAAAGTTTAATTATAATGTGTCTTGTGGTTGTCTTATTCAGATTAAATCAGATTAGTGAGCTTTGGCCATCCTAAACATCTTAATCCTTCTCCAAGTTTAAAAAGTTGTCTGTTATTTCTCTGAATAAGCTTCTAACTCTTTTTCATTCTTAGTTCCATTTTAACACTGTAGATTTGTTTTTCTGATGGTGTCCCATGGATCTCATAAGTTTTCTTTGTTTCTTCTCATTTTTTTCTCTTTTCTACTCTGACAGTATATTTTCAAAGACCCTATCTTTGAGCTCACTGTTTTTTTTCTTCTACTTGATCAGTTCTGCTCTTGATGCCCTCTAGTGCATTTTTCAGTTTATTTACTGAATTTTCCACCTCCAGGATTTCCATTTGATTTTTTCCCATTATTTTAAATTCTTTGTTGAATTTCTCATAAATTTCCATATTGTTTCTCTGTACTTTGTTGAAGTGCACAGATTTTTTTTTTTTTTTAAAAAAACAGCTATTTGAATATTTTTGTCTGCCACATCATTCATTTGCATGTCTTTAGGTTCAGTTGCTGACACCTTGTTTTCTCCATTTGGTGAGGCAGTTTTTCCTAGGCTATTCTTATTTTTTGTAGATGTACATCTCTGTCTACACATTGATGAATTAAATATTTATTTCAGTCTTCTCAGTCTGGGTTTGTTTTTGACTGTTTCTCAGTGGGCTTCTTTAGAAATTCTGTGTGGATTTCCATTATATTCCATTTTAGCATTAGGAGGTGCCCAAAGCAAAGATTAGACATAAGTCTTGCAATGGGGCTTCACCACTGATGCAATGTAACTGGATGGGCCCATGGGTGATCCACAGAAAGGCTGCTGTCTGGTGGGGAGAACAAGTCAGGCCATCAAATCTGGACAGTCTGTGTATCATGTTTCCCACAGTGTGGTGCCCATAAACAACCTGTCTGGTATAATATTTCCTCTGGTAGGAATGGCTAGCCACTGCTAAGTTTCATATAGTAAGTATTGCTAACCCAATCCCTTCTCTATGTCCCTAGCATGCCTCTGGTGGTTCAGCTCTGTTAACACTCATGGTGCTGCTTGTGGGCTGATGCAGGAGTAAGTCTACTGTGAAGGCACTCAGTATGGTGGAAAAAATATTCAACTTCTGTTCACTTTATTCAGTGTAAGAACTGTGAGTTCAGGAGGACTTTCTGCATATAATACCATTATGGCCTGGGGGAGGAGTATCACAGTCACAGAGTACTGTTTCCCTTACTGTCCAAGCATGGTTTTACTCCTCTTTACAGTCCAAAGGGACTTCATAGACTCACTCATGTATTCGGGGTTCATTAGCTCTTGTAAAGTTAATTTCATATGTGGATATTTTTTCATATAGATGTGTCGTAGGGGTATGATTACTGGAGAGATCTACTCCACTACCTTGCTCTGCCCAAATCCTTCCCCTTTCCAACAAGAGTTTGCCACCTTCTAGTATTCTTTTTTCTTAACCAAACTAAGTTTAGCCTTTTAATCCTTCACCCTCCTCCACTTCAAATGCCATTGCTTCTTTGTATGCTTATTGTATTTTCCATGCTATATGACTTTCAGCTGGTTATTTACAGTATGTAAGTTTTAATATCCTGTAAAAGGGGGACAATAATGGCATCCATTTGATAGGGATGTTAAAGATATTAAATGACACTGTCCATGTTAAATAACTTTTTGAGATATATTGAGATGTTTCTGTACTTCCTTGTTCTGGCCTTCTTGTTGAACCAGAGGAATCTATTGCCATGAAAAGCAATAAAACTGTTATAGTAGAAATTAAAAGTGAGTAGGAACTTATTTAAAAATCATCATTCTCCTTTTCAATGCAAAAATAAGAACTAGAAAATTTTAATAAGGCAATAGTCCGAAGAAATAACTTATGGAAGATAATATGGGTTTTTTAATCTTAAAGGGTTCTTTTATATATTCAAGCTTCGAGATTGGCTGCCTTGAATCCTACTAAAATTTCAATGTAAGTTTTAGAGAGGGAGGAAAAAGTCAAAGAAAAAATTGCACTGGAAAAAGTTAAATAAGTAAGGAAGATATTATTCAAGCTACTGCAATACTGGAGAGAGTCCAGACCTCGTCTGAACTCAGCTCCCCTAACACAAAGGGCCGTGGAGTTTTTGAAAGTGAGGGTAAGGGGGCGATCATAGGCCACCTGTCTTTGCTAACTGTTTTTTTCAAAGGAAAAATAAACTTTCTTTTATCTTTATGATATAAGGTAATTTTTACAACTTGGAGCAAGACTAGGCTCTTACTCTCTCATGGAGACTGGGAAATAAGGTATTATCTTTCTGGAGGATTACGTTTGAAAGAGATGGCTCCCAGATCCTTGAAAAAGGAAATTTTCTGCTTACAAGTTACACATGCCACTTCTACCTGCATTTCACTGGCCAAACAGGTCACATGTCTAAATCTGACCCTTCCTTCAATAGGACAGAAATGTATAATCTTCTAGGAGATAGGGCCACTACAGCAGGAAGACCAGATAATGGGAGAATGGTAATATAATCTACCACAATGACCACAGTGAAAACATTAGTAATCCTCAGGGTTAAACCAAGTCTTCTTGGACACTTAGGTTGATTCTAGGCTATTGTCAATAGTGGAATAACAAAAAATAAAGAGAATAGCCCATTTATTTTTTTGCAGAGAAGCTAGACAATTCACAGTAACTTATGGCCTAGACAATTTTATTTCTTGATCAACACAACTCTTTATAGATGCCTATGGTCCAAAAATGAGGATTCCTAATCGTCCCCAAAAATAAGGGATCCTCTGCAAGTCAACCTGGGAGAGAGTTTAGTATTGTTCTGAGGCAATGAAAGCCATTGAGATTCACATGTAAGAGGGTAGAGAAAGGGAATCCACATGTTTTGATCCCTCCATCTGATGGATATAACTTGGTCTTCATTACATTGCACCACCGTTGGTGTCAGAGAGAACTAGATTTGAATCCCAGTTCCTTCACTCATTATGATTTGATGGTGAATGTGTTTTTAACTCGTCTGAGCCTCCGTTTGCTCATCTATAAAAGATGGGATTGTTATGAGACTTGCAAATAAGGTAAGTGTGTAAAAATCTGGGAATAATGCCTGTAATTTAAAAGACGGCGTTGTGATGAGGCTTCAATAAGGTAAGTGTGTAAAAATCTGGACACAATGTTACTAATTTTGTAGGTTTTCAATATATAGAGAAGGAGGATTATTTTTCTCTCATTTAATTTTTAGAACAAGTTTATAAAATTGGTATTATTCATATTTTTGAGATAATCAAAGGATCAGTAAGTTTAAATAAATCACCATAGTAACAAAGCAGTTCACAACATATTGACTGGATAATTGCTAGTGAAAAGTAGCAATGATGATCACATTGAAAATCTTTTGTTAGGTGGTGGTTTTCTCTTGCATAAGCCTCTTCATTTGTTGAAACCATAGATTCTAAATTTGCTCTATCAAAGTGATCATTAGAAAAATATAATGTACTTAGTGTATAAATTTTAGAAAATGTCCTTTTCAATCCTGTTAATTTGATTGAATATGTGCATTTTGAATTATGAATGTAAATATGAATATGTATGACATATGAAATATGACTTGACATCAAAGAGTAACCTTAGATCGTGGCAACGTTTTTTTCTGAAAGCACCTGCAGAAATGTATCTTCTTTGTAGTTTCCAAAACACTCAGAGGCCATGGGGGAAGAGGGGACTTTGGCTGTGAGATAGTGCATGAGGTACATAAGGATACAGTAATTTCATCATAATTCATATTCATAATTCACAGTGAGGAAACCTGAAAGTTGCTACCAGTTACCAATAAATGAAAGGTGGGGTGGGGTCGCTGGGGGGTGCGGCTTTGTGAGCCAGTGCCTGGACTCCCACGTCACAAATGGAAGGGCACCGCGTGGAAGGAACTCAAGGTCTGATTGGTTCTTCCTAAGCAGGACACATCAGGTTGTCAGGGCAACCGGCCTTCAGTTGGTGGCCTTCAGTGGGTGCCTTAAGTTGGTGGCATTTGGTTGCCTTTCCTGGGGAGAGGGGGCAGGTGCTCAGCTCTGCAGACGTGGGGGCAAGCGAAGGCCCAAGCTGCCTCGAGAAGAGCAGAGGTGCCCCATGGGGACCACGATGACCAGTCGCATGTGCACCAAAGCCAGCCCCAGGCAGGGGTTCTGCGAGGCCGTCCTGTGGCTTTGATATCTATGAGTGGGCGGCCAGCACAGGCACAGGCACCAGCAGAAAGGAGCAGAGACGCCCAGAACATGCTGTCCCCCAATGCCAGCCCCAAGCGAGGCCAGCTTAGGGTGCGGTGGGCAGAGCCATCCTGCAGCTCTGAGATCCACGAGGTGTAGGTGGGAGTAGGGCCAGACTCCACTGCATTGGAGCTCACACAATTTGAGCCCAATTTGATTCCGGAGCCATGATCTACAGCACATTGGCGACCAGATGACGCCCAAAGGTAGGGAGGCGACAGATACCGTTTGGCCTCAGGAGCTCCTCTGGCCGTTGCTGAACCAAGGTTCCCCCAGAGACATCCACAGCCTGGGGCTCCTCCCTTCTTCAACTAGTTCCTTTCCTAGGCCCAGGCCCCAAGCCTGAGGACTGGCTCTGCCTGGGGTCTCTATCCCTTCGTCTTTCACTGTTGCATCCAGCCGGTCTCTTTTCCCCTCCCTACCCATATGCCCAGTTCTGGGCCCTCTTCTTCTTCCTAGAGGCTGGCCAAAAACTAAGTTTTCAAAGTACAAAATGGATGCTACAGATTTCGTTGCTGTAGAGGAAATGTCTGACAGCTCTTGTATTTAAACTTAAGTAGCTACACTGGGACTCACAGTTTCATAACTTGAGTTCTAGACCAGAGCTCTCTACCCTAAAGCAACAGAAAGGGGTTAGAGGTACTCCTCTTGATTCTAATAATAAAAAATGATTTTTTGGTAGGGACAAGGTCTCACTGTGTTGCCCAAGCTGGTCTCAAACCCCTGGCCTCAAGTGATTCACCCACCTTGGCGTCCCACACTGCTGGGATGACAGGCAAGAGCCACCACACATGGTCGTTGGAGGTGCTCTTGCTTTGTGTGTTTCAGCTGGTCTTCAGGCGCAGCTATCTGTAAGATGCTCCTGCAGTATAGTTCTATGTCTTTCTGCACAGATTCAGTGGATCCTGTGATTTTTTTACATGGAATAGCCCCTTTATTTTTTGCAGAGAAGCTAGACAATTCACAGTAACCTATGGCCTAGTACATTTTATTTCTTGATCAACACAACTCTTTATAGATGCTTGTGGTCCAAAAATGCAGATTCCTAATCATCCCCACGAATAAGGGGGCCATTGCAAGGCAACCTAGGAGGGAGTTTAGGATTGCTCTGAGGCAGTGAAATCTATTGAAATTCCCACATGAGGGGGCAGGAAAGGGAATCCACGTGTTTTGATCCCTCCATGTTCTGGGTGTAACTTGGTCCTCGTTAAATTGCACCATTTTTGGCATCAGAGAGAACCGGATTTGAATCCCAGTTCCATCCCTCATTATGATTTGATGGTGAATGTGTTTTTAACTCGTCTGAGGCTCAGTCTGCTGATCTATAAAAGATGTGATTGTTACGAGGCTTCCATAACGTACATGTGTAAAAATCATGGCAAAATGCTTGTAATTTAAAAGACAGGTTTGTCAGGAGACTTCTATCAGGTAAGTATGTAAAAACCTGGACACAATGCCTATAATTTTGTAAGTGTTCAATATATGGAGAAGGAGGATTATTTTTATTTCACTTAATTTTTAGAGCAACTTTATAAAATTGGTGATACTCATATATTTGAGATAATCAAACCAAGGATCAGAAAGACTAAATAAATCAGCATAGTCACAAAGTGGTTCACAATACATTTACTGGATAATTTCTAGTTAAAAGTAGCAATGATGATCACATTGAAAATCTTGTATTTTCTGGTGGTTTTCTCTTACATAAGCTTCTTGGAATTTAGTAAGATAAGTTGCAGCTCAAAAAGCAGATCCGTCGAATATTTTGTTCCAGAGATTGTAGTGGGGGCCCAAGTATTGCATGTGTTTTGTTGGGAACAAGGTGTAGGCTGAGAATCTAAGCAAACTTCAGTTGGTGGTTTTCAGTTGGTGGGCAGTGGCAGAAGGAGGAGGAGTTCCGTCTGTGCTCTCTCTTCCCCCAGTCACAGCCCTCAGGCTTGTTGTATCCAGGCTCTTCTTAGTTAAACCAGACAGGTTGACAGGTTTATTTAACATTTAGCAGACAAGTCAGCTCAGGGTAGGCGGGTGAGGTGGGGTGTGGGCTGCTAGTACAGTGCCGCCCTTTGACCCAGGGCTGCCCGTGCCCATGGGGCTATTCCACATATTATATATTATATATATACATAATATTTTTATATTTATGTATATAAGCCTGTTGGTTTGTTAAAACCATGGATTCTAAGTTGCTCTGTCAACGTGATCATTAGAAAAATGTGATGTACTTAGTGTGTAAATTTTAGAACATTTCTTCTGTTAGTCTTGTTAATACTCAATTCTTTTCTAAAACACCTAGCGCAAATCTCCATAGGTTTTAATCGAATTATATTATAATTTGGATTTTCTGGTCTGCCTATCTTCCAAATAATAAAGTTCTTAAACTTGATTTTCTATTGCTGCCATAACAAATTACCACAACTTTGTGGCTTAAATCAAAGACTTATGACCCTATAGTTCTTTAGGGCAAACCGCTGACTGTGGTCTTACTGGGCTTAAGTCAAGCTGTTGTCAGGGCTGTATTGCTTTCTGGAGGCTCTAGAGAGAATCCATTTACTTTTCCAACTTTTAGATGCTGTCCCTATTCCTTGGATCATGGGACCATCCCTCCATCTTTGAAGCCAGTAATGTGGGATGTCTGTGACCATTGTTCTGTAGTCATATCACATTCTGACTGTAGCTAGGAAAGATTCTCTGATTTTATAGACGCATGCAATTAGA
Organism: Homo sapiens; assembly: GCF_000001405.40. Lineage (NCBI taxonomy): Eukaryota > Metazoa > Chordata > Mammalia > Primates > Hominidae > Homo > Homo sapiens. Next base: position 29,517,720 of record NC_000020.11, read on the forward strand.
TTGGCCCCCAAGATAATCAAGGATAATCCCCCTAACTCAAGGTTAATCACATCTCCAAAGTCCCTTTTGCCCAATGTAAAGTAATATGGTCACAGATTCCAGGGACCAGACATCTTTATGGGGTCATTATTTTGACTGTCACAAAGGCAAAGTCTTGTACTTATGCATATCTAGATTTTCTTTGCTTAATTTCAGAGCCTAGAACACATTAGACTCTAAATAAATGTGAATGAGTGATAAATATTATATTTACAGATTGCTGCCACATTACAATTCTGTCCTCTCACTGGTGGTGGAATCATATGTACTTTTTACCATCTCCACTTTGCATTCATACTGAACATGGCTATGTTATTCCTTTCACCTGGGTAATTTGAAACCATCTCTCCATTTCTATTTGTAGAGATCTTATCTAACAAGCCCTTCTCAAATGCCACTTCAAAAAACTTTTTCTAATCCCCAATTGTCTTAGTCAATTTATGCTCTTACAACAAAATAACACAGACTAGGCAATTTATGAAAACCAGACGTTTATCTGTCATAGTTCTGGAGACTAGGAAGTCCAAGATCAAGGCGTTGGCAGGTCTGATGTCTGATAAGGGCTGTTCTCTCCGTTCAAGATGGTGTCTTGATGCTGCATCTTCCAGAGACAAGGAACACTGTGTCCTCACATGGTGGAAGGCAGGAGAGCAAGAGGGATGAACTCCCTCCATGGAGCCCTTTCATGAGGGCTCCTAAACCCATTCCTGAGGTAGGAGTCCTGATGGCCTCATCACTTCCTGTAGGCTCCATCTCAACACTATCAAATTGTCAATGCTGAATCTCGGAGGAGGCACAGTGAAATCACAGCACCAATCAAGTATGATCTTTCTGTCCTCAGAAACCCCCTCATATGTTTAGACCTCCCATGCACTTTTATACATTTTGTCTCATGGTTTCTTCCTGTACAAATAAGGTGCTGTAAATGGATAGCTATAGTTTTGGGTTTCATTTCAACAAAACCCCCTTCCTAGTTTTTTGAACCCCAAGCGAAATATGAGGACAGGCCCTACCTTCCATTACAAAAGCTGAAAGGGAATGCATGATCCTTTTTCCAGTTTCTTGGCCACCCACGTGTGGGCACATATCTAGGCCCAGCCAACTGATGTCTCTTTATTAGAACTTGGAACCCGATGAAATGATGCAAAAGACCTGAAAGAATCAGAGATGATTCTGAGAAATTGAGCAGAGATGCAGGTCCAGGAATGTGGCAGCAAGTGCCTAGGTTCAGCAGAGCCCAGCTACATGGTGACAAGTGTCAAATGACAACATCCTAGTGGTGGCATCCCAAGATCTCCTTCCGTTGAATGAACTTGGCTGTGCTGAGTTTCCCTCAGTTCTTACCTTGCTTCTTCAGCATCTTCAATGATTTTGTGAACTATTCAATATCCTTTCATTGAATTCCTGTTTTGCTTAAGTTGTCTAGAATTTGTTATTTTCAGTGAAAAATATAAACCAATTATGCCCTCACATTAAAACACACTCCACTTAGGCATCTCCTGTGATCTCACTGGAGAAAAGTGTGGACGTTATTTGTAATTTGACTCAGAATGATAGGATTATTTTGGTACTAGTAACAGTGGAGATAAGTAACTAACTTTTTGTGAAACTTCTTCCTGGGGTGAAACAAAAACTATTGTGGAAACTCTTTCCAATCATCTCTGGAAATTTATTAAGTGACCTAGTATATAATGATAATTTACCATGATATTTGATAAAATAGTTTTGTGTGTTCAGAATAATTTCTTTTTTCTTTACCTTTGAAAATAATGCGTTGATAGTTAATTTTCTCCTAAATTGTCTGTTTTTATTTCCATAAAAGGTATTTATTGAATGTCTCCTTACTTTTAATATAACTAGGCATTGTGTGATCAAAACAAAATAAATATGTTCTTGTTTCTGGAATTATTGAAGCTTTGAAAATGGACTTATCGACCTCAAACCAATGGGACATATTCCTATGTGGCCTTCTGCCCTGTTAGGTTTCCCAGGGTAAGTGGTGATTCCTTTTCTGTCTTTTTAAAGATTTTAGAAATGCAGCTTCTGCTGTGGGCCACTAGGTGGAGTACTTCAGAGCAGGGTTTGTGGGAGTACAAAGCTAACTGCTGCTTTTGCTTGATGCTTCTGCAGCTCCCTTGACTACTGTGGATGATAAGTAACCATTTTCTTCCTCTTCTTTCTTTTTTCCCCTCACTCTTTGGAGTGAACTTGAAACATTTAGGAAGTTTATTGATCAACATATACCGTGTTTATGAAAATCCGGCTAAGATAATATGGTAGGACTCCTTTGGTTATAAATAATAGAATTCAAACTCAAACTGGTCTAAGCCAAAACATATATATTAATTTGTGGACTCGTATAATGGAAAAATCCAGGGTATAGCTTCAGAATGGCTGAACGTAGGGACTCAGGACTTGGCTCCTCTCCTCTTCCTTGCTTTTTTCTTCCCCATTGATTTTATTCTCAGACAAGGTTTCCTTTGGTGCTGTAATGTGGCCATCATCACTCCTCCAGTTTACATTTCCTTAGTTCCATAGCCCCAGAATAAAGCAAAAACAGAAACACTTCTAATAGTTTCAATAAGAGACTGGAGATTGACTTTGGGTGTGAGGCTTGGATTTCATGTCCATCTCTAATTTCATCTGTGCCAGGATTAGAAGTCTATTCATTGGCCAGGCCTGTGTCACGAGCTCATACAGGGTTTCCACTGTCCACACAGTTTCTTTGCAAGTATTAGAAAATGGCTCCCCTTTCTCCAGTTAGATGCAGCCCTGTATCGGGGCATGTGGCTTGGAGAAGAGCGTGCAGGCTGGATTTCAACCCCCCTTTCTCCCTTAGCTGGGTTTCTTCCTTGAGTGAACAACATACTTGTTAGTAACTGTCCTGTTCTTATTCCTGAAACTGGGGGTGAAATCAGCACCAACGCCAAAACTGAAGGACAGAAGGTGGCTTCATCTAGGGTATCAGATAATGGCTAATAACAAAGGGAGGGGACAGTGGGTGCCGTGTGGGCAAAAGGAACAAAAAATAATCCTAACTTGTCTAGACTTCATCTCAGAAGCCATATGCAACCTTCTTCAATGGAAATATTTAACACTTCAGGAGTGCAAAGAAGGCTATAAGGAGCATATCTCTTAAGGACCTAAGTTAGGACATTCTAGAATGTATGCTTTATGGATTTACCTTATAAATATATAACATTAACTAATACACACAGAAAATATATTTCAGAGTAACATAGATGACAGAACTTGAAATACGTGACATTCTACCGCAGTCTATCATTATTTTCTAACTTATCAAAAGACTCAGAGGATCTTTTTTTGTATTGATAAATTTCTAACCAGAGCCCTATTTACTCATGTCTTGAACAACAGAGTATTTGCAAATATGTCTGAAGAGGGAAGAGAAAGAAAGTGATTACAAAAAAGCTGATAACATTAAGACAGCTTTTTATAGAAGATGTAAATTTGCAACCACAAATTAAAAACTTATAGGAGATGCACAAAATGTGAAGAAAAATAAATGAAACCAAACCACTACAAGAAATAACCAAACTAAGAAGACAGCAAGAGAGGAAAAAAAAAAAAAAAAAGAACTGCAAAACATATGAAAAACAATTAACAAAATGCAAGTTACTCCTTACCTATCAACAATGACTTTAAATGTGAAAGGATTAAACTATCTAATTAAAAGACATAGAGTGGCACAATGCATAAAAGATACTCATCAGTACATATTTATAAGGGAGTCACTTTAGATATAAAGATACATAAAGGCTCAAAGTGAAGGGATGGGAAAAGATACTCTATGCAAATGGTAACCAAAAAAGAGCAAGGGAATCTATACTTAGATCAGAAAAATTAGACTTGAAATCAAAAACTGTCACTAGAGACTAAGAAGGTCATTATATAATGATAAAAGTTCACTTCAATGGGAAGGTTGTAAATATATATCCACCCAACATTAGAACACCTAAATATACAAAGTTAATATCAACAAAGCTAAGGGGAGAAATCAGTAACACTAAAATAATAGTAGGCAACTTCAGTACCCCAAATTCAATAATGGATAGAACATCTAGGCAGGAATAAAAAAAGAGGAAACAGCTGACTTGAACAGCACATTAGATTAAGCACTGATATATACAGAACTTTCCATCCAACAGCAGCAGAATATACATTCTTCTCAAGTGAACACAGAATATTCTCTGAGATAGATCAAATCTTAGGTCACAAGGCATCCTACAAATTTAAGAAGTTTGATATAATGCCAAGTATCTTCTCAGACCACAATGGAATAAAATTTGAAGTCAAAAACAAAGAAAACAGAAACATTTACAAAAATGCAGAAACTAAACTACACACTCTTGAACAACCATTGGGTAAAAGAAGATATCAAAAGGGAATTTTAAAAATATCTTGAGACAAACAAAAATGAACATACAACTCAACAAAACTTACAGGATGCAGCAAAAAAGTGCTAAGAGGAAAACGTTACAGTGATAAATACCTACATTAAAAAATAAGAAAGATCTCACTCGAACAACCTAACTTTGCAAATAAACAATTAGAAAAAGAAAAACTAACTAAACCCAAAGTTAGCATAATGAAGTAAATAATAAAGATTAGAATATAAATAAAATAACTATAAAATAAAAAACAATAGAAAAATCAAGAAAACTAGAGTTGAATTTTTGGAAATACAAACAAAAATAACAAACCCTTAGCTACACTAAGAAAAAAAGAGAAACTCAAGTAAATATAATCAGAAATGAAAATGGAGACATTATAACAAATGTACAGAATACAAATGATTATAAAGGAAAATTAAGCAATTATATGCCAATAAATTGGATAACCTAGAAGAAATGGATAAATTCTTAGAAAGATGCAATCTACCACGGTGGAACAAAAAAGAAATAGAACAGACCAAAAGCAAGCATAGAGATTTAATCAGTAATCAAAAATTTCCCAACAAAGAAAAGCCCAGGTGCAGACGCTTTCATGGGCAACTTCTACCAAACATTCAAAGAAGAACTAACACCAAAAATTCTTAAACTCTTCAGAAAAAATAAAAGAGAGAATACTCTCAAACTCATTTCATGAGGCCGATGTTACCATGACTTAAAAGCTAGACGAAGACAACACAATAAAAAATAATTACAGACCAGTATCCTTAATGAATATAGATGCAAAAATTCTCAATAAAATACAAACTAGCAAACTGAATTCAAAAGCACATTGAAAAGGTCATACACCATGACCAATTGGAATTTATCTATGCGGTACAAGGATGTTTCAATGTGTAAAAATTAAAATGTGATATACCACATTAACAGAATGAAAGACAAAAATAACATTCCAATAGATGCAGAAAACACATTTGACAAAATTCAATATACTTTCATGATAAAACTCTCAACAAAATAAGTATACAAGAAACTTACCTCAACACTATAAAGGCTGTATATGAAAAACCTATATCTAATATTATAATCAATGGGGAAAAACTGAAAGCTTTTTCTTTAATATCTGGAACAAGACAGGGATGTCTACTCTCATCACTCCTATTCAACATAGTACTGGAAGTCCTAGCCAGAGCAATCAGGCAAGAGAAAAAAAAAGGCATCAAAATTGAAAGGAAGGATATAGTTACCTCTGTTAACAGAAGACATGATTATTATACATTAAAAACTCTAAAGACTCCACAGAAAATGGTTAGAAATAATGCAGTCAGTCTTTCATATCTGCTGGGGATTTGTTTCAGGACCCCCTCAGATAACAAAATCTGTGATGATCAACTCCCTCACATAAAATCGTGTACAGTTGGCCCTATGTATCCATGGGTCCACATCTGTGGATTCAAACAACCACAGATGGAAAATATGTACAAGTTAGGTTCATGGTTGATTGAGTTAATGGTTGCAGAACCCATTGATATGAAGGACTGACTATATAATAAATATACTAAAGTTGTAGGATACATAATTGACATACAAAAATCATTGCTATTTCTAAACACTAACAATGCATTGTCTGAAAGGGAAATTTAAAAAATAGTGTCAAATAAACTACTTTGGAACTAACTGACCGAAGAAGTGAAAGACTTAAACACTACAAATTATGAAAGATTGATGACAGAAATTTAAACCAAAGTAAATTGAAAGACAACCCATGGATTGAAAGAGTTAGTATTGTATTATTAAAGTGTCCATATTACTCAAAGCAATCTACACATTTAATGTAATCCATATCAAAATTCCAATGGTACTCACAGAAATAGAAAAAAAAATCCTAAAATTCATATAGAATCACAAAAATCCCTGAGTGGCTGAAGGTATTTTGAGCAAGAACAAAGCTACAGGTATCACACTTCCTGACTTCAAATTAAATTACAAAGCTGTAGAAAGAAAAACACTGTGGTACTGGCATAAAAACAGACACATAAACCAGTGAAACAAAATAGAGAACCTAGGCATAACCCACACATTTGCAGCAATTGATCACCCTGGAAGGTGACAAGGAGAGACTATAGGCAGAGGATATGCTCTTGAACAAATGGTGTTAGGAAAGCTGGATGTCTACATGTAAAAGAATGAAATCGGATCCCTAGCTCACGCCTTATGTAAAAATTAACTCAAAATGGATTAAACGTTTAAATGTAATCACTGAAACCACAAAACTCCTGGAAGAAGACAGGAGAAAACCTTCTTGACATTGGTCTTGGCAATAATTTGTTTAGATATGATGCCAAAAGCACAGGCAACAAAGGAAAAATAGATAAATGAATTACATCGAACTAAAAAGCTTCTGCACAGCAAAGAAAACAACTAATGAAATGATAAGGCCACCTATGAAATGGGGAAAATGTCTGCAAACCATATCTCTTATAAGGAGTTCAAAAAATAAGAAGGACACACACACATCCATTCCAAAATTATAAATAACCTAATTTTATTTTAAGGCAAAGAACCTAAATAAATACATCTCAAAAGAAGAAATTCAAATGGCTAACAGGTATAAGAAAATGTGCTCAACATCTCTAAACTTCAGAGTAATGCAAATCAAAACCACAATGAGCTATCATGTCACACCTGTTAAAATGGCTATTATCAAAAAGAGAAGAGATAAGTGTTGGTAAGAATGTGGAGAAAAGGAAACTATTACACACTATTGATGGGAATGCAAATTAGTAAAACATAGAAAACAGTATCGAGTTTCCTCCAAAAAAAATGGAAAATAGCACTGGCCTGGTGTAATGGCTCACACCTGTAATCCCAGGATTTTGGGAAGCCAAGGCAGGAGGCCAGGAGCTCCAGACCAGCCTAGGTAACATAGCAAGACCCCATCTCAGAAAAAAAATTAAAATTAGCCAGACATGGTGTTGTACACCTGTAGTCCCAGCTACTCAGGAGGCTGAGGTAGGAGGATTGCTTGAGCCCAGGAGTTCAAGGCTGCAATGAGCTATTATCTTGCCACTGGACTTTACCCTGGATGACAGAGTGAGACCCGGTTTCAAAAATAAAAAAAAGAACTACCACATAATCCAACAATTTCACTTCTGGATATATGTCCAGTGAAATTGACATAAGAGTCTTAGAGAGGTGTCTGTCATCCCCTGTTCATTGCAGCACGACACACAATGACCAAAATATGAAAATAACCTAAATGTCCTTTGGCAGAGGAACAGATGAATGGGTAAAGAAAATGTGACATGTATACATAAAATGAAATATTATACAACCTTAAAAAAGAAGGAAATCCTTCTATTTGTGAAAACATGGATGGAGCTGGAAGATATTGCACCAAGCAAAAATGCAAGACACAGAGACAACTACTTCAAGTTTTCACTTACATGTGGAATCTACAAGAGTCAAATTCTTAAAAACAGAGAACAGGACAGTGTTTGCCAGGGGCTCAGGGAGGGGAAATGGGGTGATGTTAATTAAATTGTGCAATGTTCAAGTTATAATAATTTCTGGAGATATAATGTACAACATGGAACAACACTGTATTGTATTCTTGTGTTCTGCTAAAGGACTAGATCATAAATTAATTACTGTCAACACACACCCAATGGTAAATATGTAGAGATAATATGCTAATTTGCTTGATTGTGGTGATCCTTTCAAAAAGTATAGAATGGGGGGAGGAGCCAAGATGGCCAAATAAGAACAGCTCCGGTCTACAGCTCCCAGCGTGAGCGACGCAGAAGACGGGTGATTTCTGCATTTCCATCTGAGGTACTGGGTTCATCTCACTAAGGAGTGCCAGACAGTGGGTGCGTGCACCGTGCGTGAGCGGAAGCAGGGCGAGGCATTGCCTCACTCAGGAAGCACAAGGGTCAGGGAGTTCCCTTTCCTAGTTAAAGAAAGGGGTGACTGAGGGCACCTGGAAAATACGGTGACTCCCACCCTAATACTGCGCTTTTCCGACGGACTTAAAAAACGGCACACCACGAGATTATATCCCACACCTGGCTTGGAGGGTCCTACGCCCACAGAGTCTCACTGATTGCTAGCACAGCAGTCTGAGATCAAACTGCAAGGCAGCAGCGAGGCTGGGGGAGGGGCGCCCACCATGGCCCAGGCTTGCTTAGGTAAACAAAGCAGCCGGGGAACTCGAACAGGGTGGAGCCCACCACAGCTCAAGGAGGCCTGCCTGCCTCTGTAGGCTCCACCTCTGGGGGCAGGGGACAGACAAACAAAAAGACAGCAGTAACCTCTGCAGACTTAAATATCCCTGTCTGACAGCTTTGAAGAGAACAGTGGTTCTCCCAGCACACAGCTGGAGATCTGAGAATGGGCAGACTGCCTCCTCAAGTGGGTCCCTGACCCCTGACCCCCAAGCAGCTTAACTGGGAGGCAGCCCCAGCAGGGGCACACTGACACCTCACACGGCAGGGTACTCCAACATACCTGAAGCTGAGGGTCCTGTCTGTTAGAAGGAAAACTAACAAACAGAAAGGACATCCACACCAAAAACCCATCGGTACATCACCATCATAAAAGACCAAAAGTAGATATAAAACCACAAAGATGGGGAAAAAACAGAACAGAAAAACTGGAAACTCTAAAAAGCAGAGCACCTCTCCTCCTGCAAAGGAATGCAGTTCCTCACCAGCAACAGAACAAAGGTGGATGGAGAATGATTCTGATGAGCGGAGAGAAGAAGGCTTCAGACGATCAAATTACTCTGAGCTACGGGAGGACATTCAAACCAAAGGCAAAGAAGTTGAAAACTTTGAAAAAAAATTTAGAAGAATGTATAACTAGAATAATCAATACAGAAGGAAGTGCTTAAAGGAGCTGAAGGAGCTGAAAACCAAGGCTCAAGAACTACCTGAAGAATGCAGAAGCCTCAGGAGCTGATGTGATCATCTGAAAGAAAGGGTATCAGCAATGGAAGATGAAATGAATGAAATGAAGTGAGAAGGGAAGTTTAGAGAAAAAAGAATAAAAAGAAATGAGCAAAGCCTCCAAGAAATATGGGACTATGTGAAAAGACCAAACCTACGTCTGATTGGTGTACCTGAAAGTGATGGGGAGAATGGGACCAAGTTGGAAAACACTCTGCAGGATATTATCCAGGAGAACTTCCCCAATCTAGCAAGGCAGGCCAACGTTCAGATTCAGGAAATACAGAGAATGCCACAAAGATACTCCTCGAGAAGAGCAACTCCAAGACACATAATTGTCAGATTCACCAAAGTTGAAATGAAGGAAAAAATGTTAACGGCAGCCAGAGAGAAAGGTCGGGTTACCCTCAAAGGGAAGCCCATCAGACTAACAGCAGATCTTTAGGCAGAAACCCTACAAGCCAGAGGAGAGTGGGGGCCAATATTCAACAATCTTAAAGAAAAGAATTTTCAACCCAGAATTTCATATCCAGCCAAACTAAGCTTCATAAGTGAAGGAGAAATAAAATCCTTTACAGACAAGCAAATGCTGAGAGATTTTGTCACCACCAGGCCTGCCCTAAAAGAGCTCCCGAAGGAAGCACTAAACATGGAAAGGAACAACCGGTACCAGCTGCTGCAAAATCATGCCAAAATGTAAAGACCATCGAGACTAGGAAGAAACTGCTTCAACTAATGAGTAAAATAACCAGCTAACATCATAATGACAGGATCAAAGTCACACATAACAATATTAAATTTAAATGTAAATGGACTAAATGCTCCAATTAAAAGACACAGACTGGCAAATTGGATAGAGAGTCAAGACCCATCAGTGTGCTGTATTCAGGAAACCCATCTCACCTGCAGAGACACACATAGACTCAAAATAAAAGGATGGAGGAAGATCTACCAAGCAAATGGAAAACAAAAAAAGGCAGGGGTTGCAATCCTAGTCTCTGATAAAACAGACTTTAAACCAACAAAGATCAAAAGAGACAAAGAAGGCCATTACATAATGGTAAAGGGATCAATTCAACAAGAAGAGCTAACTATTCTAAATACATATGGACCCAATACAGGAACACCCAGATTCATAAAGCAAGTCCTGAGTGACCTACAAAGAGACTTAGACTCCCACACATTAATAATGGGAGACTTTAACACCCCACTGTCAACATTAGACAGATCAACGAGACAGAAAGTCAACAAGGACACCCAGGAATTGAACTCAGTTCTGCACCAAGGGGACCTAATAGATATCTACAGAACTCTCCACCCCAAATCAACAGAATATACATTTTTTTCAGCACCACACCACACCTATTCCAAAATTGACCACATACTTGGAAGTAAACCTCTCCTCAGCAAATGTAAAAGAACAGAAATTATAACAAACTATCTCTCAGACCACAGTGCAATCAAACTAGAACTCAAGATTAAGAATCTCACTCAAAACCGCTCAACTACATGGAAACTGAACAACCTGCTCCTGAATGACTACTGGGTACATAACGAAATGAAGGCAGAAATAAAGATGTTCTTTGAAACCAACGAGAACAAAGACACAACATACCAGAATCTCTGGGACGCATTCAAAGCAGTGTGTAGAGGGAAATTTATAGCACTTAATGCCCACAAGAGAAAGCAGGAAAGATCCAAAATTGACAACCTAACATCACGATTAAAAGAACTAGAAAAGCAAGAGCAAACACATTCAAAAGCTAGCAGAAGGCAAGAAATAACTAAAATCAGAGCAGAACTGAAGGAAATAGAGACACAAAAAACCCTTCAAAAAATTAATGAATCCAGGAGCTGGTTTTTTGAAAGGATCAACAAAATTGATAGACTGCTAGCAAGACTAATAAAGAAAAAAAGAGAGAAGAATCAAATAGATGCAATAAAAAATGATAAAGGGGATATCACCACTGATTCCACAGAAATACAAACTACCATCAGAGAATACTACAAACACCTCTACGCAAATAAACTAGAAAATCTAGAAGAAATGGATAAATTCCTGGACTCATTCACTCTCCCAAGACTAAACCAGGAAGAAGTTGAATCTCTGAATAGACCAATAACAGGATCTGAAATTGTGGCAATAATCAATAGCTTACCAACCAAAAAGAGTCCAGGACCAGATGGATTCACACCGAATTCTACCAGAGGTACAAGGAGGAACTGGTACCATTCCTTCTGAAACTATTCCAATCAATAGAAAAAGAGGGAATCCTCCCTAACTCATTTTATGAGGTCAGCATCATTCTGATACCAAAGCCGGGCAGAGACACAACCAAAAAGAGAATTTTAGACCTATATCCTTGATGAACATTGATGCAAAAGTCCTCAATAAAACACTGACAAACAGAATCCAGCAGCACATCAAAAAGCTAATCCATCATGATCAAGTGGATTTCATCCCTGGAATGCAAGGCTGGTTCAATATACCCAAATCAATAAATGTAATCCAGCATATAAACAGAGCCAAAGACAAAAACCACACGATTATCTCAATAGATGCAGAAAAGGCCTTTGACAAAATTCAACAACACTTCATGCTAAAAACTCTCAATAAATTAGGTATTGATGGGACATATCTCATATTAATCAGAGCTATCTATGACAAACCCACAGCCAATATCATACTGAATGGGCAAAAACTGGAAGCATTCCCTTTGAAAACTGGCACAAGACAGGGATGCCCTCTCTCACCACTCCTATTCAACATAGTGTTGGAACTTCTGGCCAGGGCAATCAGGCAGGAGAAGGGAATAAAGGGTATTCAATTAGGAAAAGAGGAAGTCAAATTGTCCCTGTTTGCAGATGACATGATTGAATATCTAGAAAACCCCATTGTCTCAGCCCAAAATCTCCTTAAGCTGATAAGCAACTTCAGCAAAGTCTCAGGATACAAAATCAATGTACAAAAATCACAAGCATTCTTATACACTAACAACAGACAAACAGAGAGCCAAATCATGAGTGAACTCCCATTCACAATTGCTTCAAAGAGAATAAAATACCTAGGAATCCAAATTACAAGGGATGTGAAGGACCTCTTCAAGGATAACTACAAACCACTGCTCAAGGAAATAAAAGAAGATACAAACAAATGAAAGAACATTCCATGCTCATGGGTAGGAAGAATCAATATTGTGAAAATGGCCATACTGCCCAAGGTAATTTACAGATTCAATGCCATCCCCATCAAGCTACCAATGCCTTTCTTCACAGAATTGGAAAAAACTACTTTAAAGTTCATATGGAACCAAAAAGGAGCCCATATCACCAAGTCAATCCTAAGCGAGAAGAACAAAGCTGGAGGCATCACATTACCTGACTTGAAACTATACCGCAAGGCTACAGTAACCAAAACAGCATGGTACTGGTACCAAAACAGAGATATAGATCTATGGGACAGAACAGAGCCCTCAGAAATAACGCCACATATCTACAATTGTCTGATCTTTGACAAACCTGAGAAAAACAAGCAATGGGGAAAGGATTCCCTATTTAATAAATGGTGCTGGGAAAACTGGCTAGCCATATGTAGAAAGCTGAAACTGGATCCCTTCCTTACACCTTATACAAAAATCAATTCAAGATGGATTAAAGACTTAAATGTTAGACCTAAAACCATAAAAACCCTAGGAGAAAACCTAGGCATTACCATTCAGGGCATAGGCATGGGCAAGGACTTCATGTCGAAAACACCAAAACCAATGGCAACAAAAGCCAAAATTGACAAATGGGATCTAATTAAACTAAAGAGTTTCTGCACAGCAAAAGAAACTACCATCAGAGTGAACAGGCAACCTACAAAATGGGAGAAAATTTTCTCAACCTACTCATCTGACAAAGGGCTAATATCCAGAATCTACAATGAACTCAAACAAATTTACAAAAAAAAAAAACAAACAACCCCATCAAAAAGTGGGCAAAGGATATAAACAGACACTTCTCAAAAGAAGACATTTATGCAGCCAAAAAACACATGAAAAAATGCTCATCATCTCTGGCCATCAGAGAAATGCAAATCAAAACCACAATGAGATACCATCTCACACCAGTTAGAATGGCAATCATTAAAAGTCAGGAAACAACAGGTGCTGGAGAGGATGTGGGCAAATAGGAACACTTTTACACTGTTGGTGGGACTGTAAACTAGTTCAACCATTGTGGAAGTCAGTGTGGCGATTCCTCAGGGATCTAGAACTAGAAATACCATTTGACCCAGCCATCCCATTACTGGGTATATACCCGAAGGACTATAAATCATGCTGCTATAAAGACACATGCACAAGTATGTTTATTGTGGCATTATTCACAATAGCAAAGACTTGGAACCAACCCAAATGTCCAACAATGATAGACTGGATTAAGAAAATGTGGCACATATACACCATGGAATACTATGCAGCCATAAAAAATGATAAATTCATGTCCTTTGTAGGGACATGGATGAAATTGGAAATCATCATTCTCAGTAAACTATCACAAGAACAAAAAACCAAACACGCATATTCTCACTCATAGGTGGGAATTGAACAATGAGATCACATGGACACAGGAAGGGGAACATCACACTCTGTGGACTGTTGTGGGGTGGGGGGAGGGGGGAGGGATAGCATTGGGAGATATACCTAATGCTAGATGATGAGTTAGTGGGTGCAGCGCACCAGCATGGCACATGTATACATATGTAACTAACCTGCACAATGTGCGCATGTACCCTAAAACTTAAAGTATAATTAAAAAAAGAAAAAGAAAAACAAAATCCCCAAAAGTATAGAAATATCAAAACATTAAGTTACCTTAAATTTATACAATTTGTATATGTCATGTTATCATGATACAGCTGTTAAGAAAGGTTTAGTAAATCATGTCTACAACCTGGGAAGTTTCTCATTACAGGGAGGGCTGGAGTAGGAAAATGGAATTTTGCAAAAAGGATAGGGTGAGGGACATGGAAAATGATTGATCAAGTATTTAAGAAATGACCTGGGTGGAAGCTACATCAGAGGTTATGAGCTTTAGCACATCAGTCCTCAAACTTGTTGGTTTCAGGAACACTTAACATTTTTAAAAGTTATTGAGGACCTCAAAGAGCTTTTATTTATTTGGATTATGTCTATCTATATTTATCATATTAAACATTAAAACTGAGAAATTTAAAAAAAATATACTTATATGTTTATGTAAATCACATTTTTACTTAAAATTATCATTTTTAAGCAGTAAAGTTGGTGAGAACAGTGACATTGTTTTATATTTTTAGGTATGTCTTTAATGTCTGGTTTAATAGAAGAAAACTTGGTTCTCCTTTCTGCTTCTATGTTTAATTTCTTGTGACATCCCGTGTCAGGTAGCCTCTGGGAAACTCCAGTTATACTTGTGAGAGAATGAAAGTGGAAAATGTAAACAAAACCTGTGTATTTTTATGAAAAGACTTTTGAATTTGCAGAGCCCCTGGAAGGGACTCAGGGGCTTCTCGGGGTTCTCTGGCTCATGTCTTCACAGAGTAGAGGGTAAGTCCGCAAGAGAAAGCAGTGATTGGCTGTGGGAGTTCTTGCTGAGAGGTGGTAGAGAAGAGATTGGATGTGGAGAAAGTATGGTCGTTGTTTTCATTTCTTTTCCCTGTCCTTTGTCCTCTTGTTGCTGGGATTTCCTCTTTAGATGATCGTATTATAAATTAGAAATTAATGAACATTCTTGATATTGCCTAATGAAAGTTTTTGTTTTGTCTTCCTGAGTCTTGATACATTTCAAGAAGTCTTCTATCTCATTTATTTTTCCCACCCAAATTTGGAATTTAGGAAGAGTTGATATAGCTATATTTAGATGATTTATCTCCCTGAAGACATTTTGGGATCATTTATAAATCTCTATAAACAATGCTCTGATGTCCCTTTATTTTCTTTAGAGACTGGGTCTTGCCGTGTTGTCTGGAGTGGAGTGGCTCGAGCGTAGCTCACAATACACAATACAATCAAACTCCTGGGCTCAAAGTGATCCTTCCACTCAGCCTCCACAGTAGCTAGGTCTGCAGGTGTATGCCAGCACGCCTAGCTTTTGATTACTATTATTATTTTTGTAGAAATGGGGGTTTCATTATGCTGCCCAGGCTGGCCTTCCAACTCCTGGCCTCAAGCGATCCTCCCGCCTTCCGCCGTCTGAGGAGCTGAGATTACAGGTGTAAGCCACCATGCTAGTCCTGATGTCATTTAAATACAAACATGATACTATATTCCTTGTAGAAAGTGCTACATAAATATAATTTTTTTGAAATAGGGTCTTGCTGTGTCACCCAGGCTGGAATGCAGTGGTATGATCACACTCACTGCAGCCTTGACCTCCTGGGCTTAAGAGATCTTCCCACCTCAGACTTCCAAGTAGCTGGCTTCTGAGGTATGAGCCACCAAGCCCAGAGAATTTTTCAATTTTTGGTAAAGATCGGCGTGTCACTGTGTTGCCCAGGCTGGTCTTGAACTCTTGGGCTCAAGTTACCCTCCGCCCAGGTGTCCCAAAGTGCTGGGATTACAGGCCTGAACCACTGCACCGGGTCCTAAAAATTCATTCACTTTCTTTTTTTGTCCACAAGGGGCTGCTGTTTCCCTTCTAATAAAATGAGACAGCTCACTTGAGAACATCAAGAACATGACATTCTCTAAAAAAAATCACAGTAGTTCCTTTTCCATAACTATTAAGTTTTCAAGGTGTTATCAGGTTTATTTCATAGAAAGAATGTGTAAAATTTTTCATGTAGAAACATAATCTTTTAGCAATGACTTAGTTAAAAAATTTGGCATTGTCAGAATGAAGATTTCCTTTTCCCTATAATTTTATTTATTATAATTATATTTTTAATGACATCAATTGCTTTATAAAAACTCATTATGTTATATACCCAATGACTGTGAAATCATCTGCTTTGAAGCACAGTGAAATCATCAATCAGCATAGTGGGTCTAACACAGTTCCTTCCATTTTAAGAAAGCTATTTACACTCCAATTTGCAAGTTGGACTTTACAAAATTAAAACATTAATAAAATATACTAACTATGATTGTTTTAAAAAGTAATGGTTTTTTATGGTAAGGAAATAAATTGAAGCTTTGTGTTGGAAAATGCAGAAAACAAATCAGCATTCTTTATAAATAGATCTTACTGCTGGTTTAGAAATTACCTTATGTGCTTTATAGATGATGGAAAATGAAATCAGCTGCAGTTAGCAGTGTGCATGCATCGTATTTGCTGTGTCACTTTCAGAAAGGTTATGGAATATTGGCAGGTCAGGATTCTCAAAATGATAAGTTCTAAGAAGAGGCTAAATGAAAAAGAATTTTAAAAGCAAGCCTAGTTGTTTAATATATACATGGACGAGTTATGGGGAAATCCTGGACTGGGAACTAGCAGATCAATGTTCTGACTTTTACTAAGTCATTGGCTGCTACAGCAGGCCGAGCAGACATAACTGTCAAGGCTGCCTGGGAGTTGGGTTGATTGGCAATTGGCACAGGGAGAGAGAACAATTGCCAGAATAATGGCCAAATATTCAGAGTTTCATGTTCAGTGAAGCAGGACGTGCATTTGTATTCCAAGGGCAAAAGTGATGCTAGAATCTGGGCTTCCTGGCTGAATCTGAGTCCACAGTCTGATGAGTAGGATGAAGTAGTCTCAGAAATCCAAGCCAGCCAGAACCCATGAGGTGTGCTCTGCAGACATTGGCTGGCGAGCTGCATTAAGATGTTTCATTTCATTGAGCAAACATTCCTTGATTGGTTAGGTTAGCCTCCCACAAAAGCAGAGACAAATTCTTCAGAATTTGTCCATGAAGCTATAGTCCCAGAGCTTATATTTCAAGGGAGGAGGGAGGAAACAGCATCTCAGGATGGTAGGTGATTACAGCTAAACTGAATTCTGAAAATAAAAGGAACCCTATGTCTTTGTCTGCTCAGGCTGCTGCTACAAACAACTGTAGACTGAGTGGCTTAAACAGCATATACTTGTTTCTCACAGTTGTGGGAATTCAAAGATTAAAATCTGGGCCAGCAGAGCCAGTGTCTGGTGAAGGCCCTCTTACTGGTTTGCAGGTGTTCTTGTTGTATCTTCACATGGCTGAGAGAAGAGGGCTGTAGTCTCCTGCTCTTCTTATTAGGATGCTAACCCCATTGTGGGAACTCCATCCTCATCAAAACCAAATTACTTCCCAAAGGTCCTCCTTCTAATGCCATTCTACTGTTAGAGTTTCAACATGTGCATTTGTTGATGCAAACATGCAGTGCACAGCATCTAATCTAATCAAATCAGTTGTCCCTTGAATAAAATTCTAGCTCCTATAACAAGACTCAAAATTATGACTTGGTTGTTGCCAAAACTGTCTATCTGGATTTGCTAGAAATCAAACATTCTTGAATATTTCTTCTAAAGATTTTCTCATTCCTACCCTATTGTGTATATTTACAGAATTCTTAAATAATTACATATACAAGGCTTCTATTAGCTCTGACGACAGCTTCTATTAGCTTTGACGATTGCAAGCAGCTTTATAGCACTGTAGGTAAAAGCATGTGCTTTGAAATCATACAATAAATTTATTAAATGCTAAGCATTTTATATTCACTATTTAATTTTATCATCTTAATCACCTTCATTATTACCTCCATTAAACCCTATTTGTTGGCTACTTATATTATTCTGATTTTGCAAATCTAAATTTGAGAGGCTTTCCCTATGTCACATAAGTTAATAAGTGGCATAGCTGGGATTTGAATTAAAGTCTACCTGATTCCAAGATCTATTTACCATTGTTCTACAATATGTACTTTTTAGGTCCCTGAGAATGCTAACAGCCTTTCTTTTGAAATCTACCTTCTTTCTGGATAGCAGCTTTATTAATATGTGATTAGGGCACCACATTTCAGGCAACAAATTCTTTGAAATCTTTCATTTCCATAGTGAGATAAGGATCAGTTCTGTGGCATTGTCAGCCAGAAAACATCATTTGGAGACGACCTTGTACAAGAAGTAGAAGACACAGCTGGGGGCCGGCGGAGGACAGAAAACTCACAGCTTCTGTCCATACCCCTTTCACTTCCTCCTCAAGGAGATGGACCTCTGTGGTTGGTCAAGCTTAAGGATCTTTTATGGGCCACAGCTAATGGTGAAATCTTCCTAACTCTGGGTGAAGATTAATGGGCAAGTTGGAGAGTTAAGGTAGCTTGTGGCTGCTCCTTTTAGAAGAAAGTCTGATCAATGCTCTCTTATTTGTGGAACCCCTCTGTTCCCCCAAATGCTTGGTAAGACATGCCTGAAGACCAATCCTGTGTCAGTAGACTTCATATCTACTCTCTTCTACCAATCACACAACTACAGACAAATAAGAAAAATAAAACAAAGCTCAGACACACTCCCCTGGCATGGAGGCCACTCTCTGGCTGGCTGCTTTTCTCTACCCTGGCACCTCCTGGGCGTTTGGCTCTTTCTTAGATCAAAGCGAGACATGGGTTTGGGATTAAAGAGAAGAAGGTGAAAGGGGTCTCTGGCCTGCTTTGGCATTAGACCAAGTAAATAACAGAGTTCTGACTTAAGCTCAGTTCCGTAGAGCTTTCTCTGTGTTTGGGGAAAATCTCTGATAGTAATGAAGTGATATTTTACTGTTCTTCCTTTTCTGTACATATATCTCTTTCTTAGGTATGTTGTGAGGAGATTTGTTCCCGGGACAAATATATTTCTCAAATAATAAGTCTTGAAAGTCAAAATGATGCCGCAATCCATGGACTACAGAATAGATGTTGTGTTGGCAGGCATGAAACCAGCATGTGTTTCCCTGTACATCTCCATTAGAGCTCTTTAGTTACCAGGTACATTGTCAAAAAGCTGAAGTATTTGAAGTGAATCTTTTTTCTGAGCTGTAGGTCTCAACAGTGGGATTAAAATACTCAGTAACCCATGCGGTAAACAGCTCTGATGTCATCCAAGTGTTGTTGTTCCATTTATAGAGCACGGGTAGTGTAGATTTAGCATAATTCTTAAGAGGTGCCCTAGGATTTATGGAATAGCAAATGAGCATTGGCTTGTAACAAGAAAGTCAGCCTGTCCTTTAAATCTTTTTCTTTTTCTTGATATAAGGTCTCACTCCATTACCCAGGCTGGATTGCAGTGGCATGATCTTGGCCCACTCCATACTTGACCTCCTTGACCCCACAATCCTCCCACCTCAGCCTCCTGAGTAGCTGGGACTAGTAGCATGCACCACCATACATGGCTTATTTTTATTTATTTATTTATTTTTTGTTAGAGACAGGGTTTCACCATGTTGCCCAGGCTGGTCTGAAGCTCCTAAGTTCAAGCCATTCCCCCACTTCAGCCTCACAGAATGCTGGGATTACAGGCGTGATCCACCCTGTCTGGCCTCTAAATTCGTGTTATGGAGACTCATTTTCATGGTTAAAATGTCCTGAATTGACTGTGGCCTGTTGGGAGGCGGGATGGAGGAAACTACTTATGGAAAATGAAGAAGAAAGGGAAGCACATCAGAAGCAAGAAAGTGTCATCAATTTTTACGTCAAAGACTCCATGATAAAAAGAAAGTACAGGTGGTTTGTTATCAAGGCTGACCATTGGACTGTGGACTGCACATACATCTACCAGGTTCTTCTGGATAGTCACAGTTTTAAATTTTTGACCTGATATTCATGAACACAGTGCTACTGGTCAGACCTTTGTCCAGGTTTAAGCTTCAGAACATAATGTCTTCATGCAGTGGGAGGCCTGGTTAGGGTTATGATTCTGCCCTGGGGCATCAGCCCCTTCTGGCCTGGAGGTAAACTTGGCATCTACTACTTACCTCTACACTTGAACAGCCAAGGATGGGCTGAGCACAGAGGCTCACATCTGTAACTCCAGCACTTTGGGAGGCCAAGGCAGGAGGATCGCTTAAGGCCAGGAGTTCAATACCAGCCTGGGCAATATAGTGAGACCTCATCTCTGTAAAAACAAACAAAACCGAAGATGGGTGGGTGACATGGAGCAGTTCAACATGGGAAACCATTAATCTGAGAGCTGGAAGGACCCTTAGACCAGCCCCCCATTAACAGATGAGACTCTGCCCTGAGATTATAGCCTAAGGTAATGCATTGAGCTTTTCTAGAGATTTGAAAATAATCAATCCTAAAACCCCCAAGCATACTGCTACTGTTTGTTATTGAATAATGTTTTCTAGTCTGGGGGTGATGGCTCCTGCCTGTAATCCCAACACTTTGGAAGGTTGAGGCAAGTGGATCATCTGAGGTCAGGAGTTTGAGACCAGCCTGGCCAACATGGTGAATCCCCGTCTCTACAAAAATACAAAAAATTAGCAGGCCATAGTGGTGCGCACGGGTAATCCCAGCTGCTTGAGAGGCTGAGGCAGGAGAATCCTTTGAACCTGGGAGGCAGAGGTTACAGTGAGCCGAGATCACAACATCGCACTCCAGTCTGGGCTACAAGAGTCAAATTCCATATCAAAAATAATAATGATAATAATAATGTTTTCTACAAGCAAGGAGTTACTTTGTACTGTGAACTGGTG
>NC_000020.11:29538783-29540234 GCF_000001405.40 Homo sapiens
AGCCATTACAGGCTTGAGCCACTGCACCCAGCTTGTCTGTAGTTTTTAAAACAAAAACGGCCGGGGTGGTGGCTCACGCCTGTAATCCCAGCACTTTGGGAGGCTGAGGCAGGTGGGTCACGAGGTCAGGAGTTCGAGAGCAGCCTGGCCAAGATGGTGAACCCAGTCTCTTCTAAAATTAAATAAATTAGCCGGGCGTGGTGGCGGGCACCTCTAGTCCCAGCTACTCGGGAGGCTGAGGTAGGAGAATCGTTTGAACCCGGGAGGCAGAGGTTGCAGTGAGCCGAGATCATGCCACTGCACTCCAGCCTGGCCACAGAGCAGGACTCCGTCAAAAAAAAAATTTAAAAGATTAAAAGTTAAGATAGATTTTTACAAATATATATATCTACCATTATAGTGTCATACAGAATGGTTTTAGTGCCGTGAACATTCTCTGTGCTCTGTGTATCCATCTCTTCCTTCCCCTTGGTCCATGGCAACCACTGATCTTTCTACTGTTCCCATGGTTTCACCGTTTCCAGAACGTCATATAATTGGAATAGAACAGTACGTAGACTTTTCGGATTGGCTTCTTCTTTTAGCAATATGCATTTAAGTTTCCTCCATTTATTTTTTTCTGGCTTGATAGATCATCTCTTGCTAGCAGTGAATAATATCCCATTCACATTATACTTTTTTCAAGACTCACAATGTACAGCGTGAAGAGTAAACGTGAATGTGCACTGTAAGCTTTGAGTGATAATGAAGGGTCGAGGTAGGTTCCTGGTTGTCACAGGTGTGCTCCTGTGAGGCAGGAAGCTGTAGTGGGGAGGCTGTGTGTGGGGAAAGGGACATATGGGAAGCCTGTACTCTCTGCTCCGTTTAGTTGTGAACCTGCACTTCTCTAAAAAATAAAATTAGTTAAAATTGAAAGCCAAAAATTAGAGAAATTAAAGGATTACAATGTGTCATATAGTTTTCAAATCACAAGATAGAAAAAGACATAATAACAGAAAGTATAGAAAACAACAAGGATAGGAATACAACATCAGTGATAGAAGGCAGAAGACAGACACGTACAGCCAAACATATTATTTTAATGATTATTTATATTCATTTATACTAATTTATATTGATGTAACATATTAATTTTGACTAAATGGCATTAAAAGAGGTTTGAGTAATTTGTGTGTCACATTCTGGATGAGAGGACTCAATAATATTAACTCTTTAGTTTGCTGTAAATTATTTAAAAATATGCTCAAATTCCAATAAAAATTCCAAGAAAAATATTTTTGAACAAGAAAATGTGATTTTAAATTCGTCTGTTGAGCACACACATGAGAGCCAATATTATAAAATTTAAGATATTTAATATTATTACTATTCAAAGTAAACAAATTTGAAATGGCACAAAAAATAACACATTAATGAAAGAGAACTAAAAACACAGAAATTGAGTGTAATTT
>NC_000020.11:29540284-29556103 GCF_000001405.40 Homo sapiens
AACAATAAAGTCATACAGATAAGTAACTAAAATAAAGTAAAGTAATCTAAAAAGGCCGAGCATGGTGGCTCATGCCCCAAATCCCAGCACTTTGGGAGGCCGAGGTGGGTGGATCCCCTGAGGTCAGGAGTTCAAGACCAGCCTGGCCAACATGCTGAAACCCCATCTCTACTGAAAATACAAAAATTAGCTGGGTGTGGTGGCAGGCACCTGTAATCCCAGCTACTCGGGACGTTGAGGCAGGAGAATCGCTTGAACCCAGGAGAAGGTGCTTGCAGTGAGCTGAGATTGTGCCATTGCACTTCAGCCTGGGTGACAAGAGCTAAACTCCCTCTCAAAACAAAACAAAACAAAAATCTAAATGTTATTGAGTTGAATATTTAAACTTTTAATTGACATTTCAAATTAGATTCTAATTCCACTTAAAAGAGCATCTCATAGAAGCAAATGTACTCAATTATATTAACTCTGTAGTTTCATTTAAGCAATTTGTTTTGTGAAGGGACACAAAGCCAACCAGATTTTAACAGTGTATAAATATGTATTTATTAATTTAATTACAACGACAATACTCTCAACTCCCCATTTGAATATAGGAGAGCATCTGATCTGTGTTCTGGGACAGCATGCACTATAGGTGTGTGGAAATACCGATGCCCTCAGCTGTGTGGCAGGCTCAGTGGGACCTGGAGTGCAGGAGCCCCTGGGCCATTCACCTCTGGCCACAAAAGTCATTGTCTATTTACCCCCAACTGCTATAGAAATACTATTTTCAGTGGTTGTTATGTTGCAAAAGAAAAGAAGCAGGGAGATTTATTAAACTTTTACATATAAGATATATTAGTAAATAAAGTCTACTTTCTTCTGGCTTAACTAAAAATCTATACTAGTATTTATGCCTTTTGGAAATTAGAGATGCCATTTTAAATATTTTGAAGCAAAGCAACTGAGTATTAGGTAAGACAGCCAAACACAACTGCAGAATTGTAGAGGTTATGTGTTACATGTATAAGAATATGTCATAGCAATAATCTTTTAAGACTCTGTGAAGACACTCCACAGTGAAGCAGAAATTAGAACAGAATTAATAATACTGTGTATGCTCTCAGTTCACCAATTTATCAAAACTAGCTTTATGATTCAGGAGGGTGTCTGCTCTTTTGCAATTGGAAGAAAAGAAAGAATATTTTATTTTTTGACTCTTTAGATTTTCTTCACTAACAGTATTTCCAAGGCTAAGTAACACTAAGAGAAAAAAGCGGTCTTGAGCAGCTTTTTAAAAATGGTCTTAAAATATGGAAAATGAAGCCAGGTGTGGTGGCTCACTCTTGTGATCCCAGCAATTTGGGAGCCTGAGGTGGGAGGATTGCTTGAGGCCAAAAGTTTGAGACCAGCCTGGGCAGCATAGCAAGATCCCCGTCATTGCAAAAAACAATATTTTTTTAAAAAAATTAGCTGGATATGGTGGTGCATGCCTTAGAGTCCCAGTTACTTGGGAGGCTGAGGTAGGAGGAGCTCTTGAGCCCAGGAGTTCAAGTCTGAAGTGAGCTATGATTGCACCACTGTCCTCAAGCCTGGGCAACAAAGTGAGACCTCTGTCTGTCTGTCTGTCTGTCTGTCTCTCTCTCTCTCTCTATATATATATATATATACATATATATAAAATATATATACATATATAATATATATACATATATATAAAATATATATATATACACATATATATAAAATATATATATATATGGAAAAGGGAAGGGGCCAAGAATATCAAAGACATTGAAGAAGAGGAAAGATTTGTCCTGCCAAATATCGGAAGTTTTATAAAGCTACAGCAATTAAGACAGTGTGGTCCTCACTGATACACTGACTAATGAAACAGAATAGAGAGTTCCCAAGCAAATCTCCACCAATTTAATCTTCGATATGTGATGTAGGTGACATGGCAGATCAGCAAGGAAAGAAATGACTTTTCAATAAATAGAATAAAAAAATAATGGTTATTGATATAAGAAACAAAATGAAATTATATTCCTACTTCATTCTATATACAAACATTAAATTCCAGATGGACAAAAGACTTACATGTCAGAAACAAAACTTTAAAACTTTAAGTAGAAAATGTAAGTGAATGAGACACAAAAAGCCATTTAACCATTAAAAAAGATTGGACATTTTGACTATCACAAAATTAAGAACTTTTTACATCAAAAAGTGGAAAGATAGGCTGGGCACAGTGTCTCAAGCCTGTAATCCCAACAGTACATCACCTGAGATCAGGAGTTTGAGACCAGGCTGGCCAACATGGTGAAACCCCATCTCTACTAAAAATACAAGAAATTAGCCAGGTATTAGTGGCAGACACCTGTAATCCCAGCTACTTGGGAAGCTAAGGCACGAGAATGGTCTGAACCTGGGAGGTGGAGGCTGCAGTGAGCCACTGCACTCCAGCCTGAATGACAGAGTGAGACTCTGTCTCAAAAACAAAAAATATAAATTAAAAAATAAAAGTAAAAAAGTGAAAAGATAAACTATAAATTAGAGAAGATATTTGCAGTAACTGAAACCTACAAAAGATTAATATCATATCAACTAACTATAAGGAGCTCCTATGAATTAATTTTAAAAATAGCAGCCCAACAGAAAATTGGGAAAAGACAATAATAGGGATTTAACAAAAGAGAAAGCCCGCAAAACATAAAAATTTTCTCAACCTCATTAGTAATCAGGGAAATGCACAAGATACTACACATCTATTCTCTCCACAAATATTAAGAAGTTTGACAATAAGAAATTTATTAGTCCATATTCACACTGCTGATAAAGACATACCTGAGACAGGGAAGAAAAAGAGGCTTAATTGGATTAAGGGTTCCACATGGCTGAGGAGGCCTCAGAGTTATGGCGGTGGATGAACAGCACTTCTTACATGGCAGTGGCAAGAGAATATGAGAAGGAGGCAAAAGAAGCAAAAGATGAAACCACTGATAAACCCATCAGATCTTGTGAGATTTATTCACTATCACAAGAATAGCATGGGAAAGACCGGCCCTAAAGATTCAACTACCTCCCCCTGGTTCCCTCCCCGAACACATGGGAATCCTGAGCAATACAATTCAAGTTGAGATGTGGGTAGGGACATAGTTAAACCATATTATTCTGCTCCTGGCCCCTCCAAATCTCATGTCCTCACACTTCAAAACCAATCATGCCTTCCCAACAGTCCCCCAAAGTCTTAACTCATTTCAGTATTAACCCAAATGTCCACTTTCTAAAGTCTCATCTGAGACAAGGCAAGTCTCTTCTGCCTATGACCCTGTAAAATCTAAATCAAGCTAGTTACTTCCTAGATACAATGGGGGTACAGGTAATTGAGTAAATACAGCTGTTCCAAATGGGAGAAATTTGCCAAAACAAAGGGGTTACAGGCCCCATGCAAGTCCAAAATCCAGCAAGGTAGTCAAATTTTAAAGCTCCAAAATGATCTCCTTTGACTCCATGTTTCACATCAAGGTCATGCTGATGCAAGACGTGGGCTCCCACAGCCTTGGGTAGTTCTGCCACTGTGGCTTTGCAGGGTATAGCCCACCTCCTGGCTGTTTTCATAGGCTGATGTTGAGTGTCCGCAGCTTTTCCAGGCTCATGGTGAAAGCTGTCAGTGAATCTACTATTCTGGGGTCTGGAGGAGAGTGGCCCTCTCCTCACAGCTCCACTAGGAAGTGCCCCAGTAGGGACTCTGTATAGGGGCTCTGACCCCACATTTCTCTTCTGCACAGCCCTAGCAGAGGTTCTCCATCAGAGCACCACCCCTGCAGCAAACTTCTGCTTGGACATCCAGGTGTTTTCAAACATCCTCTGAAATCTAGGTGGAGGTTTCCAAACCTCAATTCTTGACTTCTATGCATGTGCAGGCTGAACACAACATGGAAGCTGCCAAGGTTTGGTGCTTGCACTCTTAACGCCGTGGCCTGAGTTCTATGTTGTCCCCTTTCAGCCATGGCTGGAGGCGTTGAAACACAGAGAAACAAGGCCCTAGTCTACACACAGCACAGTGAACCTGGCCCAGCACAGGAATCCATTTTATCCTCCTAGGCCCTGGGCTTGTGATAGGAGGGACTTCTGTGATGACCTATGACATGCCCTGTAGACATTTTCCCCATTGTTTTTGGGATTAACATTCAGCTTCTTATTACTTATGCAAATTTCTGCAGACAGCTTGAATTTATCCTCAGAAAATGGGATTTTCTTCTCTATCACATTGTCAGGCTGCAAATTTTCCAAAACTGTATGCTCTGCTTCCTTTATAAAACCGAAGGCCTTTAACATCACCCAAGTCACCTCTTGAATGCTTTACTGCTTAGAAATTTCTTCCAGCAGATACCCTAAATTATCACTCTCAAGTTAAAAGTTCCACAAATCTCTAGGACAGGGGCAAAATGCTGCCATTCTCTTTGCTAAAACATAACGAGAGTTACCTTTGTTCCAGTTCACAAGAAGTTCCTCATCTCCATCTGAGAACACCTCGGCCTGGAACTTATTGTTCAATACACTATCAGCACTTTTGTCAAAGTCATTCAGCAAGTCTCTAGGAGGTTCCAAATTTTCCCACATTTTACAGTGTTCTTCTGAGCCCTCCAATCTGTTCCAATCTCTGCCTGTTACCAAGTTTCAAAGTCACTTGCACATTTTTGGGTATCTTTTCAGGAGCACCCTACTCCACTGGTATCAATTTACTGTATTAGTCTGTTTTCACACTGCTGATAAAGGCATACCCAAGTCTGAGAAGAAAAAGAGGTGTAAAGAAAAAGAACTGTAATTGGATTTACAGTCCCACATGGTAGGGGAGGCCTCAGAGTCATGGCAGGAGGTAAAAGGCACTTCTCACATGGCAGCAGCAAGAGAAAATGAGGAGGAAGCCAAAGCAGAAACTCCTGATAAACCCATCAGATCTCATGAGACTTATTCACTATCTTGAGAATAGTACAGGAAAGACTGGCCTCTGTGGTTCAATTACCACACCCTGGGTCCCTCCCCTAACATGTGGGAATTCTGGGAGATAGAATTCAAGCTGGGATTTGGGTGTGGACACAGCCAAACCATATCACCATATATGGAGAGACTGGATCAACAAGATCATGTCGAACTAATACAGTCGGTGAGAGTTTAAATTAGAACAACCACTTTGGAAAGCAATTTGGATTATCTTATAAATTTGAGCATTCTCATATGTTATGGCAAAGTAATTCCTTTACCGTAGGCCCTGGAGAAACTCTTGCCCATATGTACCAGAAGTAGTAAAAAAAAAAAAAATGCTCATGTAATGCCATTCATAATGGCAAAAATCTGGAAATAAACCAAATGTTCATTAATAGGAGAATGGGTAAATTAATAGGAGAATTGGTAAATAAATTATACCCTTAAAAACTAAATAATATGTCATTTAGGGTAATCATATGTATACAATAAAACAATGTTTTTATTTTAAAGGAAGAGAATCCTAAACATAAATTCAGGGTAGTAGTTACCCTCGGGCTGAAGGATGAAAATCAGGAAAAAGGACAGAGGAGGAGCAGATGGTAGGGTCAGAACCCTAGTTCTTTGGTTGTGTTGTAAGTTCACAAGTGATTACTCTATTGTTCAAATACATTTACACAGAGGCTCAGGCACAGACAAGGATGAAATAGGAGCCAAGGTGTGCTATGAGCCAAGGATTATGATTAATCCAATTTTGAGCACTTTAAGCCATTTGAAAAACAGAAAAACAAAACAACAAAATAATTTTTAAGAAATTGAATATAGGGTGCTATGCTCTGAATGTGTCCCCCTAAAATTAATCACCAATGTCATAAGATTAGGAAGTAGGGCTTTTAGGTAGTGATTCAGTCATGAAGGGAGAGTCTTCACAAATGGGTTTAGGATCCTTACACAACTGGAGGGAGTGGGCTTCCCCTGTTTTGCACTTCCGCCTTCTGCCATGTGAGGACACAGTGCATCTCCTCCTGAAGACACAGTGCACAAGGTACCATCTTGGATGCAGAGACCAGGCCCTCACCAGACACCAATCCTGCTGGCACCTTGATCTTGGACTTCTAGCCTATGGAACTGTGAGAAATACATTTCTGTTCTTCAGAAATTACCCAGCCTAGTGTATTTTCTTATATAGTAGCACAAACTCATTAAGGCACAATGCCTCTTGACATTTTCTTCTACAATTTTCTTTGTTGCCTCTTTAGCACTGGGTCATTTTATATTTGATCCTTCATTATATCTCTTACTTTCGGTTTTTCACATTTCTGTTCCAAGTGTATTCTTAGATGCATATTTTCCACTATTAATTAGCCTCAGGGGTTGCCAGGGAGTGTGTGTTTCTGTGCCACCACTGTAGGACTGTGTGTGTGTGTCTCCCATTCTCTCTTTTCTCTCTGTCTCTCACCCTCTGTGTGTTTCTTTCCCTCTCTCTGTCGGTCTGTGTGTGTGCGTGTTTGTGTGTGTACGCCCGTGTGCGTGTGTATCTTTGGACGAATGTGCTCTGTTCGCCAAAATGCGATTTTTTCCATGTCGGCCAGTCTTTGTTGAGCCTCTCTGCCTGGGTCCCGTGGCCGGTTGTCCATCATTTTCACGGCGGTTCCACTTTGGGTTTTTGAAGTCCTCGATCACGTGAGGAGACGCGTCGGTCCCGGAGCAATCGAAGTCTCATCCCCATCCTGAGCGGCCTCTTTTCTAGGATCAAGAGGACCACACTCCAGCCCAGGACAAAACCCAACAGCAGCTCATTGTCCGGCAGGAGAGGAGCAGACCCACCTCCAAGAAGATGGTTGTACCCCTGCACGGCTCTTCTCTGAGCAATGAAGCCACACCACGATACAATTCTGAGGAGGAAGCCGGGAATGGGAGACGGCAACAATCCCTGTCCCTGGAATGCTGGCCTCTCTGGACAAGTCACGCGTTTCACACCCCTCCCCTTATGCCCGTGGCAGTGGCAAGGTCCTGTAACCTGCCTGGGCTCTGGCCTCTGCTCTGTCCTCCCTCTTGCTCTGTCTCCCCTGTTTCTGAGGGGCCTAGTTGCCTCTTGGTCTGGCTAATAACTTCTACGAAGATCGCTTCCCAGTCCATCAGGGAGACACTTTCTGGAGATGCGTGACATGACTCTTTCTCTCTCCAAACCTGTTTCTGCTGGATTGGGCAGGTCTGATAAGCCTGGAACACTTGGCTTCCATGCGTGTCTCAGACAGGGAAGCTTCTTTGGTCTCCTTGCTTCACCTCATGGGTGGGTGGATTGCCTAGAATAAGCGCTAGGTGATCATGACTGGCCTTGTCTTCTAGGACAGGTGGTGTCCCATTTCCTCTGCACGTCCTGTCTTACAAATGAGGGATATCCTCTCCTCTGCTCATAGGTGGACTGATTCCTTGAATCTTTTGGCTGTAATGAATGTCAGGAAACCAAAGGAACTGGGCTGGGCCTGGGGATGGGTTTGGGGCTGGGTGCAGGGAAGGTTGCGTCAGGGCTACCTGGGCGGTGGAGGCTTCGGGGTGGGGTGAATGTTGCAGAAACCTGTGTGCTCCTCTGGCAGGCATTTCAAAATGTGGCTTGGACTGAGGCACAGGCCCTGTCCAGGTTCCCAGGTCTTCTTTGAGTTCCCTTGGCACTCAGGGAAAGGCCACTTGATCCCCCTTTCCACTGGGCACATGCCTGGACACCACTGTTGGTTTCGCCGTCACCCCATTTGCCTCCGGTGACGCACATTCACACCATCTGCTGTGGGATATGCCAGTGCCACGCGTGATCGCATTGTCTCCACCTCGGCTTCACACCGTCCCTGTTTGCACCTGTCCTGGAAAGCGGTGTCCGCTTGCAGGAGCCCCAGGGCTTTTAGAAGCGGGGCACGCCACTGCTCTTTCAACGGAGGAGGGAGGCAGAGGGCTCACGGATCAGTGAACTTTCAGCTGACACCACGCCTTGAGGGCCATGGGATCATTCTGTGCTGCAGCGAGGACCTGCCTGCCTCACCAGATGTGCTGAGCCCATCCTTTCTAACCCGGAGGGGTCCAAACTAGGATCTGAAGAGGAGTCCTGAGAACCCAGCAGGCACCCTGAAGATCCCCCTCCATAGGTGGAAGTCGGCTCAAGGAGGTCCTGAAGACTGGACTCCTGGGGGGTTGGCCCGGGGACAGGATACTCAAGCACTCCTCTCCCACCCCGCCCCAAACTGGACCTCAGCCCCCACGCCACAGCCCCCACTTTCTCCCCAGAGCTGAGGGACAGACAGAGAATTGCGACTAGAAATTCGATAGATTGGTATGAGGGACCACGTGGCCAGGGGCTGGCCAATGACCAGGCCGCCCGGGATGAGCTAATAATGGAAGCAATTTGTAACTTTCAGTAACTCTCTAGGCCTGGGTACCGGAGGGAGGGAGGCGGGCAGAGGAGGGGAGATGGGCACCCCCAGTTTTTCCATCCTCCTCATTCGTCTAGGGGCACCCGAATCCCCTATTCCTTATTTCCCCTATCACTCAGGCACTGGCAGGGTCCTTTTCCCACTCCTGTTGGCCGCCGCGGCTCCAAAGCGAGGTAAGCTGGTCCTCTACCCCTCAAACTCTTCACAACCCTCATCCCGTTTACTAGCACCTGCAAACCACAGCCTCCCTTCCTGTCCCATTAGTGAATTTAAATCGGATTTTGTTTTTCCTCTTAGTTGAAAGAAAAAAATTCTTTTTGTATTCTTTTGTGTAACCTATCTCGGATTTGGAGAAAATTTTAATTCAAATTAATACACTTATATTGGGGGGGGGGTGAGAGGTACTTTCCTCCTTTTCAATAAATTTCTATACTTGCTACTTTATGGAGAGTTTACTTTTCTTTGGGGATGAGTTACACCTTATGTTTTCACATGTGTTACTTCTTTAATGATAAGTGCAACTCCTTTCTCCATTCCATCCTCCAATTTTGCTATTTATAAATATCACCTAATGGATTTAGAGTTTATTCATTTTTCTCCTCCCTCACTAGTTTTTCAGCTGTTACAGAATCACCACAATTTATTTTTCTCTGTATGTGGATGAGGTTTTGTGTTGATTCCTCTTTTTGTTTTGTAAATGAATTTATTGTTTGGGAAACTCTTGGGGTGGTGTGTGTAAAAAAGGTCTTTTGATTAATTCCAACCTCTCCTCTTCTGAAGAACAATTTGCTTGAAATGTTTTGTGTATTTTCCTCATTTTTATTATGTTTAAATTTGAGGTATTTTACCTTCTTTAAAACCTGACCTCTTTTTAAAATTTAACCTTTTGCATGTTAAACCATTTTTAAGGTTTTTATTTTATAAACGGCAATGGTTAGTAGATTTACTTGCCTTTCCCTGACCTCCTTCATGCGCCTGCCTCCTCCATCTCAAAACTCCCATCCCCAGCTTCCACAATTCTCAGCTTCCAACGGACTCATCCTCCCCTCTCCTCCCAGCGAAGGACGGATGCCTGGGAAGTAGACAGTGTCCTTCTTGGGTCAGAACCTATGCTCTGGTTCTAGTTCAGGACACCTCCAGTCTCACCTCCAAGCCGGCAAAACGAGTGAGAGCAGAATTTCTGTCCAACTTTTTCATTTGGGACTAAGTTCTTTCCACTTGGCTGTATTCTGGAGAACTCTGATACATGAAATTGAATTTTAAATTCTCATTTTTTCCCTAAATTCTAAGAAAAGTGCAGGCAGATTGTTTTTCTTCCTTAAATGTAAGCTGTTAGCTTAGGGGTCAGCCCTTTGGGTCTTTTACCTCCTGGGGGAGACTTCTCAGAGAGACATACAGTGTTGATTCTTCCTTTTAGTTTTTGTTAAGGTAGAAGGGGCAGGGATTGGGGAAGCCCATATTGATCTCTGGCTCTAGCTCTGAACAAAGAAGGGTAGAGAGCTGGCCTGGGGACTTGTCCCTTTAGTCAGTAAGGTTTGGCTTAGGAGAGAGTTTGAAGTAAATCCCAGCTCTGAGGAAATTCTTCTTTTTAGCATTACTGTGAAAATAAATTATTAAAATAGTGTGACATGGCTTCAAACTATTCAGATTCCTTGAAGTAACAAAAATAAACTTACAAGAGTAATTTGTGTTTCCCAAAGATCCGCCTCCAGTGACTGTCCATTTCTCTCAGGGAAACAGAACCCAACTGGGCAGAAGTAAAAATGCCGCCCCTCCCCTTTCAGTTCCCCAGTCACATTGACATTCTGGGCACATTTGGCCCAGCCCCCGTGCCTGCTTCTCCCAAGTATGAATCTAAGTTACTATTAATAAGGGGCCACTCCAAGTTAATTGGCATTAAAAGAATTCATTTCAATTTGTTAATATTAAATGAATGCTCTGCACTTTAGCTCCCTTCTTCACCCTGGATTCCCAGATGAGTGATGGGAAGAGGGGGCAGGGAAGTAGAATGAGGATTTTATTTCTGGCTCTCCAGCTTAGCCACTGTGGTGCCTCCCCTGAGGGTGTGCGATCAGGCACAGTGGGGGACTGCTTGGGGAAAGTCTGATGTTCTTTTTTGGTGAAATTCATCTGTTTCAGCAGGAGTTGTGGGGGATGGTGGGTGGGGAGCAGAGGGAGAGGGACAGAATTGTTTGGGGGACTTCGTGGGGAGCGGAGGGACTAGGGAGAAAGTGGGAAGGGAAAGGGATGGAGGTCAACAGGAGTTTTGGAGAACAAGGGTTGAAGGCTGTGGGGGGTAAAGCAGATTCGTGAAGAACTGGTGATAGGAACTAAACAACCCACCTAGAAGGGGAGGGGCTTCAAGCAGGGGTGGGGAGGTGGGATTTGAGGCAAAACAGCTAGGAGTTCTGAAACTATTAATATCTAGCTGTGTGACTCAGGGCAAGTTGCTTAACTTTTCTCTCTGCCTTAGTTTCTTGACCTGTAAAACAGGGATACTAATAATAGAACTTATCTCAGGGGGTTATTTGGAATTAGAAGAAATACATGCCATGTGTTTTCCACAGTGCTTGGCACATAGAAACTGCCAGTAAATGTTAGCTCTTTTTATGGCAGAGTGGTTAACAGGATGGATTCTGGAGCTAGACGGCCTGGTTTTGAATCGCGGTCATGCCTTATGTGAGTTGTATGACCTAGGCAAGTTACTTAACCCCTTGTGATTTAGTTTCCTTGTCTGTAAAACGGGGTTAATAGTACCTAGCTCAAAGGCTGCTGTCAGGATTAAATGAGTTATATGTACGAAGAGCCTGGAACAATGCCCATCCCATAGGAAACACTATGTAAGCATTAGTTGTCATTGATATTGTTGCTCTTCTGATCTAGGAAGGTTGAAAATAGAGGCACAGGTGAGCTACTACTTACAGGCTAAGATTGGAATCAGATCAACTCTTTCACTCCTATCCCTGAAGCTAGTCCTGTAACTGGGTCTGCATATGTGGGCTTGGGGAGAGATCCTATAACCCTGGAAGCTGGGATATCCAAGTCCTTCCTCTGCTCTAGCTCTTGGGTTGGTGGTCCCTCCAAGACCCATAGACTCGAAGTCACTTCTTTTTCCCTGGGCAGGGTTGGGGTGGATCTGGTAATAGGAGAATTACTTTCTTGGTCTAATAACTCCCTTTAGTAGAGAGTTAGTCCTGGGAGTGTGAGTTGGGGGAGGTTGGGTAGAGCAGAGGAGATTAAATATCCTTTATGTACCAGCTCACACACACTTGACCTCACCAGAGGGTTGGGAAGACAGAGATTCAAAGAGATTAAGTGATCTGACAAAGTCCTAAAGCTAGAACTTGGCAGAGTTGGCATCTGAACTCTGATCTGCTTGATGACAAACTTAAAGCCCTTCCATTGCTGCATGCTTTTTGAAGGGAGGGATGGGACACATTTAAACTTGGGCCAGGACCATGGGGTAGATGGAAGATGGGCAAAGATAGAGTATTGGAGTGGGAAGTGGTCAAGCAGGAATTTTTCAATCATGGAAGATTTCCTGAGAAAAGAGATTCCAGATCAGGGTTCAGATGGTAGGGGAATGAGGATAGGAAGTAAAGAAGAGGGAGGGAGCCATGCATTGACAAGGAAGGAGAAGAAAAAAGAATTTATGCAAAGGCTGGTCAGAGTAATGGACATGAATTTGATTTGCCTTCCATTTGCCTTACCATTTATTGAAGGCATACTATGTACTAGGTACATACATGATCACATTTGATGTTCACAACAGCCCTGACAAGTGGGTTTCTTATCCCTATTTCCAAAAGAGATCATTGAAGTTCTGAGAGCTTAATCCCCACTTTAGGTTACACAGTAGTAGCTGGATTTCCTGGCATCAGAACCCTCACCTAGGCTGCCTCTGAGCATGGCTTCTGTGTCCCAGTCTCAATTTCCATGACTGTTTCAGGTCCTCCTGTTCCCCCACATTTGTAGTCACTCTTGGTGACTGGGAACAAAGGGCTAGAGTGTGAGCTGAAACTGAGACAGGGAGTGGCAGGCAGGCAGTGGGGACAGAAACTTTTCTCACATCCACCCATGTGAAGAAGATGGACAGAAGGGTGGTCTTTCTGGAGGGAGGCTTCCAAGCCACTTTCTGGAGACTGCTGATCTTGGGATGAATGGCAGGGACCTTATTGGGTAGGGGATGGATGGTCACATTGTTTTCTGGGCTGTAGACTTTATTTCCCTTCCTTTGGGAAGAGAAGAGGAAGAGGACAGCTCAGGTGTGGGTTTGAGCCCTGGATTAAGACTGCCCATTGTCCACTAAAATCTCTTCTTTCCTTGCTGCCCGAGGGTGGAGAGACACCCAGCTGGACACTCCATTTCCCAGCTGCTCTTGTTGCCAGGTGTAGACACAGGGGAATGTGAGGCGAGCATGTCCTCAAAGCCTGACGGCACTGGGTAAATTCTCCTTTGTGTTCTCTCTTTCATGAGCTGGGCAGATGTGCCTGAGACAGGTTTGACCAGGCAACTGAAAATATATCCCTAAGAGAAGACAAAACAAAGATATGAAAGGAACACACTTCCCTGACTGACTAGGAGGAACAGAGCTGCCTGCTGACTGGAACCGCTTCCTCCCAGACTAAGTGAGAAATAAACTTCTGTTTTCTATATGCTACTGTGTTTTGGGGCCTTTATGTTATAGCAGTTTTGCTGTCATCCTTTCTAATTCACCTTCTCACACCAGATATTTCAAATTAAAAAGATTATATCAGGCCAGGTGCGATGGCTCATGCCTGTAATCCCAACACTGTGCGGGACTGAGGCAGGTGGATCACTTGAGGCCAGGAGTTGGAGACCAGTCTGGCCAACATGGTAAAACCCCATCTCTACTAAAAAATACAAAAATTAGCTGGACACAGTGGCACACTCCTGTAATCCCAGCTATTTGGGAGGCTGAGACAGGAGAATTGCTTGAACCCAGGAGGTGGAGGTTGCAGTTAACCGAGATCATGCCACTGTGCACCAGTCTGGGCTACAAAATGAGATTCTGTCTCAAAATAAAAAACTGATTACATGAGATCACAGAATAACTATAATGATATTTATTGGGCCAGATAGTATGCGAAGGACTCTATGCACATTATTTAGTGTAATCTATGTGACAATCCTCTGAGATACGTGTTACTATTATTCCAATTTACACACGAGGAAACAGGTTCAAGGAAGGTAAGTTATGTGCTGAGGGACACACAGGAGGGGTTGGGGCTGGATTTCAAGCCCACTGGGTGTGCAGAACTGAGCCTCTTCACCGTGGGGGAAAATCCCTCCTGAGGACAGGGCTGGAAAAGCCATGGAGATCATCTTGTGCTTGGACAAGCCTCTCGCCAGTCACCACAGGGCCCTGAGACTCCCATTCCTACCTTCAAGAAGCTCAGCAGGCTACTACTCATGTTCATGTTGGGTCACTACATACGGTTTTATTTGAAGGAAGGAGCCCAGAGTTAAACTCATGTGAAAACCCCTGATAAATTCAGTCCCCTCCCTCTTTTTACTGGTGAGGCCCAGAGAGAAGATATGACTTGCTTAAGGTCGCACACTTAGTTTCTCTGTCAATCTTTCTAAATCTAGGACGAGTTCTCTTCCCACTGTATCAGGCTGCCTCAACAAACAGGGAAGTACAAAAATAGCCAAATCCAGGAAGGAGGGCAGTGGTCTGTGTCTCCTCCAATAATTTCATGGGACAGCCAAGCCTATTTCCTTGATTTCCCTTGTGCCCCTCCTGTCGGATATCTGCTTTGGGACCCATCTCTTTTGGGCTTGCAAAGAGAACGGGCTGCATCAGTTCTCTGCCCTCCGCATCACCCAGATGGTCAAACATGCAAAGGGAAAGGAGAGCTGGGGCCAGAGCCAAGGCAGGCAAAGAGACTCCTCGACACCCTCCAGTCTTTCCACATTTATATTTTTGGAATTTCAGGCTCCCTCCTCCCCCTGGACCTTTCCTAGTAGCCCACCAGGGAGAAGAAGAAGGAAAACTGCCATAAATTTCTCCTATTTATACAAGATGACAGAGTTTCTTGTGCCAGAAAAAACACAGAAAGGGAGCTGTCAGGGGAGAAGGGACCCAGCCCTATACCTTCTGGGGTCAATTTATCTTTCCGAATCGTGGTTTGGGGGCTACCCTAACATTGCCTGTATGAAATGCAGGCTTTGACTTGGGGCAACCAGGCCAGACAGCCCCTGAGCTTTGTTCCTGATCACAGTTTTCCTGCTTCATTTCAACTTCCCCCTACCCCTTACACTGTCTTTTTAAAAAACAACTTTCTTGAGGTATAATTCATGTGTCATACAATTCACCATTTGAAATGTACAATTCAGTGGTTTTAGTATATTCACATGTACGTCAAACCATAACCATAGTTAATTTTAGAACATTTTCATCACCTCAAAGAGAAATCTTGTAACCTTTAGCTATCACCTCCCTATCCTCCCATATTCCTTCTTGCCCTTAATAACACTAATGTACTTTCAGTCTCTGTAGATTTCCCTATTCTGGACTTTCATATGAATGGCATCATATAATAAGAGACCTACTGTGACTAGCTTCTTTCATTGAGCATAGTGTTTTCAAAGTTCATCCATGTTGTAGCATTTATCAGTACTTCATTCCTTTTCAAGGCTGACTAATATTCCATTGTATGGATATATCACACTTTGTTTATCCGTTCTTCTATTGGTGAACATTTGTGTTGTTTTCACCTTTTGGATATTACTATTCTCTCTTTCCTCTCATTCTCTAGACATCTTGGATAGTATCCAGTGAGGCCTGTGGGCAAGAATGGGTGTTTCTTATATTTGGGAACACCTAATATCCATGAAAGCACGGTCTTGGCACATGTCTGCTTTCATATTAAGTACATGTACTAGCTGGAATTTTCCTACCTCTATTGTTACTGAGGTGGGGCTGCTCCCTCCTTTTTCAATTCTCCCTTTTTATCACGATTGCTATGTTGGAAACTTGCTGACTCTTCAGACTAGGGGATTCAGATCCTTCTCTTGGGGCTTCAGAGACATGGAGTGGATGAATGAATGTCTTCCCATGAGGGAAGAGTTCCCTGAGTCTGGTCTCAAGTGATTCTCCAGTGCCTCACAGTGGAAGGAAGGTCTGTGAAGACTCCAGGGTCGAGGGAAAGTTATGTTCTTGGATGTATGACTGAGCCCAGAATCCAGGCCTCCAGTTTCCATCTCCTTGCCTGGACCATTTCAGTCTTCAGACATGCTTTGAGGTCAATCCAGTCACTCACCCAGCAACAGACACTGCCTCTGCCCTCATGGACCTTGCAGTTCTAGTGGTGAGAGTAAGATGAATACAAGTGAACAAAATGATGGCAAGTTGTTCCAGCTTGTTCAAACTTCTAAACACTGTTCAATGAATGAATGAACC
>NC_000020.11:29556141-29562970 GCF_000001405.40 Homo sapiens
ATTTATTGGACCAGACATACACCAAGGAGTTTCTATAGTTCATTAATTTTCACCCTTTGAATTAGGCATCAATATTTCCATTTTGAAGATGAGAAAAACCAAAACTCATGGTTTAAGTAGCTATCTGAAATCACACCCATAGCAGTAAGTGGCAGAACATTTGCTCTGGACACTGGGATAAGTATGTGTGTATGGGTTTTTTTTGTTGTTGTTTTTTGTTTTCTGTTTTTTTTTGTTGTTGATGTTGTTGTTTGTTTGTTTTCGGGATGGAGTTTTGCTCTTGTTGCCCCAGGCTGGAGTGCAATGGCATGATTTCAGCTCAATGCAACCTCCACCTCCTGAGTTCAAGTGATTCTCCTGCCTCAGCCTCCTGAGTAGCTGGGATTACAGGTGGCGGCCACCACACCTGGCTAATTTTTGTATTTTTAGTAGAGACGGGGTTTCGCCATGTTGGCCAGGCTGGTCCCAAACTCTTGACCTTGTGATCTGCCTGCACCGACCTCCCAAAGTGCTGGGACCACAGGCGTGAGCCACTGCACCCGGCCATGTATGTGTTTTTATTCCTAACACTTCATAACAAATGCCAATATCTCTTCCTGCAGCCTTACAGAGGGAGCTGATCAGTTTCCCCTCCTGCCCAAAGGCAAAGCAGCCACAGTGGAAGTGCCAGAGTCCTCCCTCACAGCCTTCTGTCTAGTGGTTATTCCCGCTTCAAGGCTAAGGAAGGGAAGGACCCGTTTTGCTTTCAAAGGCTTTTTCCTTCCAGCCCTTGCTGTGCACCCGTTGTGTGTGGGAGGGACCATGAGAGGCCTGGATATTGTCAATAAAAGACTTGAACAAGCCAAAGAGCTGATGATGTTGACCAGAAGGGGACCTTAACAAGGCAGATAATCAAAAGTTGATGACTGACAGCCCCTTTCGCATCCCTTCACCCTCTACTAAATCAGGTCTCTTACATGATCTTGATGACAAATAATAAAAATTATAAACACATTACAGTTTTCACATGCATTTGTTCACTTCTCACAGCAAATATGAGAGGTATCTAAGGCTGAGCAGTTTATTACAGAAAAAAGTTTATGGGACTAGAACCTTAATTTTATGTAACAAAATTTATATAGAGCTTACCATGGATCATGTACTCTACTAAATAGTTCAAAACTTTCATTTTTAGAGAGATGGGTGTCTTGCAGCCAGGGACAGTGGCTCACACGTGTAATCCCAGCAATTTGGGAGGCTGAGGTGGACAGATCACCTGAGGTCAGGAGTTTGAGGCCAGCCTGACCAACATGGTGAAACCCCATCTCTACTAAAAATGCAAAACACAAAAATTAGCTGGGTGTGGTGGTTCATCCCTGGAATCCGGAGACTGAGGCAAGAGAATCACTTGAACCCAGGAGGTGGAGGTTGCAGTGAGCTGAGATCATGCCATTGCACTCCAGCCTGGGCAACAAGAGTGAAACTCCATCTCAAAAAAATAAAGGGGGGAGCGGTCTTGCTATGTTACCCAGGCTGGTCTTGAACTCCTGGGTTCAAGCAATCTTTCCACCTCAGCCTTCTGAGTAGCTAGGACTATGGGCCCAGGCCACCAGGCCTGGCTGTATCTCATAACTATTAACTCATCTACTTTTTCACCACCATGTGAAGTAGGCATTACTGTTATTCACATTTTTTAAGATGCAGAAACTGAGGCATGGTAATCAAGTATCTTGCCCAAGGTTGTACAGCCAACAGGTGGTAGAACAGGGATCCTGAGCCCAGCCCCAGCATCTGTGTCTAACCACTTCACCAGGTGGGCTTTGCATGGGGACTACACTTGAAACTATAGTTTGTTAGTCTGGGGCCCCTGCTTCCGCCTGCCTCCCTCAGTCTTTATGGCCCACTGGAAAAAGCAAGCCAGAGCTGTGGCTTCCAGGGTGATGATCCTTCAGCTGCCTCCTTGGCACTGTCATTCCCTCCTCCCATCTCCCGCCAAGGGCTACAGCCGAGAATACCACAGACGGTTTGCCATGGATCAAGATTTCTCTCAAGAAAGAGCTCACAGAAAGGCTGCTGTGAGAAAGGAAGTCACTTGCTACTCCCCTTATTCCTCCATCAGGAGGAGCCTGATGAGGTCACTGCACATTTGAGTGGGTGCTATCAAAGCACAGCCTCTGGCCAGCGTGGAGACAAACGTGGGCTGTGTGGCCCATGACTGAGTGGCTGAAAGGAAACCTGAGGTGGTAGATGATGGAACTGATTGAAATAAAACTTCTGTAGGAATGCTGCATGTCATTCATTCAACAGTGCTCCCTGACCAGGGCCCAGGGCTGTGCATATGAGCTGCAAATGGGTTTGTTCCTTCGTTTATATATCTATTTGCTTATTTATTCAATAAATTCTGATTATGCCCCTAAGAGGCACTGTGCTAGATGTCAAGGATGAACAAGACAAAATCCCTTCCCCACAGGGGCTCCCGGTCTAGAGAGGGGAGGAGGAAGGAAGATGCACAGTGATTTGTATCATATGCTGAGGAAAGAGAGTCATTTACTATCGCCGTTTGACATCCTCACCCCCAGTGCGGTCCTTCTCTTTGTCTCTCCATGCTGGGAGTGGGCAGTCCCTGCCCTGCTGCCCTTCAGACACAGCCCTCTTCCCTCAAGCTGCCCTCTGCCTGGATCCCACCTTCCTTGTGAGCTGGAGTATTTGCGTTGAAGGACTCTTGACTCTCCTTCCCTGTCAGTCACTGTTTGGCTGCAGGCAGTGACAGAGGTGGCAATAAAGCAGCAGAGAGAAGGCTTTGGTATCAGAGCAGGGACTCGCGGGTGGAATGGGACGGGGATGGTTTTCTGTTTGCCTCACTGTGTTCTCTGTGCTGCTCTGCCCAGGGAGGCTGACCTCTGCAGACTGTGTCACCTGGGCCCCCTGATCTCTCGGCCAATAGAGGTCCCAGCTGAGAACGGGGAGAGAGGAGTCAGGGTATTTGTTTCCCCCATTCCCTGTCAGCCCCCCTTTTTGCCTGCCTGAAGCTCTGGTGGTGGTTGTGGTTCCTCCATGGTCACAGCTTTGCTGAGTGGCCTCTCTCCTGTGTCCTGTGAGCACAGTTGGCATCGGGCTTTGGTAGAGATATTTCTATCCTGGTGCCACACTAGCCCTTATTAGTTTTCTTCATCTGGTCTATGCCTTTAGAAACTGTCACATCACTAAACCCTTCAGTGAAACACTTTCGAATGTGTCATTTATTCTCTGTTGCCACCCTGACTGGCTCACCTGGGTGCAGAGGAGGTGGGGACAGAGCAGGTTGGGGCTCCAGTTCAGCTTTATTATCCCTCTTTTTCAGGGTTTCCCAGAGGAAGAGAGAGAATTTGGACAAATGAATGAGGAACAACGCTCTCCTGAGGGTTTTCTTTAAGGGGCAAGGATCAATGCCTCTAGATCCTTTGAAAGCAGAGTTAAGAGGCAGTGCAGGAAGGCACAGCAGGAAGGTTCATGGTTAGACTACAGAGAAGGAAGCAGCCACTGCTGGGGACCTACCCTGTGCTGGTCACTGACAAGCTGTCTCATTAAACCTTCCCGGACCCTCAACCCCTCCTAGTATCTTATCCTCATTTTACAGATGAGAAGACTGCGGCCCAAAGAGGTAAAGATCTGGGGAGCAGGATGGGAGCTTCACTTTGTCTCAGTTGCTCTGGCAAAGAGAAGCCTCACCTTGTGATCAAGGGATTGGGAGGGTGACAGATAAATCTTGGCTTAAGTGTCAGCATAACACTGGGAATCTGGAGCTAGACGGCACTGGCTTGACTCCTTGGATCTGCCTCTTACTAGCTGTGTGATACTGGGCATGCCTCTGTTTCCCCATCTATAAAAATGGGGCTAATGATAATAACACCTGCCTTACAGGTTGTGTAGAAGGTTGAATTTGTAGTTATGAGGTGCCCAGGAACAGTGCTAGCACACAGTGAGCGCCATACACAAGTGTTAAAGAATGGAGCCTCCTGCTCTCTCCTTATTTTCCACCCCCTGCCCTCTTATCATTGCCCACTTCCCCTGCCTTCTCCTCGCCATCCTGAAAAAGGGTGAAGAGCCACCCAGAAACCCCTGAACAGGCATGTTGGTCCCAGGCCCTTTGTGAGCATGCTTTTCCCTGCCCTGCCCCCTGTCATCACCATTCTGGATGGAGCAGCAAGGACGGAGACACTTATTTGGGTTATCCACTCCAGGTCCAATGCCAGTGGGATCAGCTTCGATGGGATGCGCACAGACTGACCTCTTCTCCCCAGCCCCTTCAACTTCCCAGAGCTGCAGGGGGCCTGGGAGTTCTTGGTAACAGCACATTAAACCTCTGTTTGTGGGAACTTTAATTTAAACATAAATTAGAAACGGCAAATGACTCTGGCAGCCAGATAAGCCATCCCGGGAGAACAAGGAGAAAGCCAAGAGAATCAGCCCAGATAAGGCCTGACTTTAAACTAATGGTGATACCCAGAAGCCTGGGACAGATGAAATCTAGGGGTCCTGAATGAAGAACCCCAGAAGCTCCACACCCCAGTTGTCCTTGCTCTGGGCTCTATGTCAGCTCCCTCTCCTGTGTTCTCTATATTTCTATCTTATTGCAAAATTTTATCCTGATTCTTTGGCTCCATCCCTCCCACCCCCACCCTACTGTTTTAGAGAATGCACTTTCTTTACTTTGCTTCTCATCTTCTTCTGTGACCTACTATTCTGAGAAAGTTCTACTTGTTATCTAACCTCCATCTATGCTACTACCTTTAGAGTCTAATACATCCTGCTTAGTGGTAGCTCTGGGAGTTTCTGTTCATGTGGCAAATGTGGTGTAGTAAAAACAACCTGAAAAAGACCTGGGTGAACTCTGCATCTCAGTTTCCTCATCTGTATGATGATGAGCGTGTGAGAAAGAATCTCTAAGGACTTGTAAACTCTGACTTCTCACAGAGAATCTGAGGACAAGGACATCCAAGGAAATCTCTATTGTTCTGGAACCCATGAATTTTCCACTGTTCTACTGTTTGGGAGTGAGCGTGGGGAGAGCAGTCAAGCCTGTTGATTCTTTTCTGGGAGGGGTCTACAGGCTTTTCTTCCACCCTTCCACCCACAACCCAGGCTCAGTCCAGGCCCAGGCCCAGGAGAGAGGCTGCCTTTCCAGTTCTGTCAAGGCCTGCTGAGCCCAGCTCTGTGGGGCTGTGGCTGCTAAGATGTTGTCTCTGTCCTCTGGGGTAGGAGAAACATATGTTCCCTCTGTCACAGCACCTGTGAGGGTGGCAGAGGGATGGCAACCCCCAAGAGGGCAGAGTTCCATCTCTCCAACTGACCTCAAAGCATCTTTTTATCCTGCTTTTCTGGGAGGCTTAAAGTGAAGGCAGAGGGAGATATCACACAGTCCCAAAGCCCCCACTAAATGGGGAGCTACTGTCTTTCATCTTTCATGCAGGGTGAAAGAAGACACCTCGGCTACAGCAAGAGGAAAGAAGGTCAAACCACAGGCAGAACTTTCAGGTTGAATGTTAGAGCAGACTGTGATCCCAAGAGGTCATCCAAGAGCCTTGGTCTCAGAGGATGCCTATGAGACCCTGGTCCCTGGCTGGGGTGGGAACAATAATCCCAACAGCCCCATGCCAGACTGACTTGGGAGTCAGACGGTCCCTGGGACTAGAATAGAAGGACTTTGGCATTTTCCCTCGCCTAGGGCCCTTAGACAGAAGTGGGCAGCTGCCATCAGAAGCCTGGGGCCCAGCTGTGTCTCCACCTTCCCCACCTCCCCCCTCCTGAGTGCCTGGCTGCCCCTGGTGCCCCAGGCTTGCCTGCCATCTGGGCAGCTCAGAGGAGAGCCCACTGCCAAGGGAGTGCCAGCATTGATTTATGGCCCACAACCTTGGCAGGCTCAGGCTGTGTGCCCGAACCACCTTTGCTCAGGGAAGAGATGCTCCTCTTAAATGAACAGTGCAGAGGAATGCAGGAATGTCCAGGACGAAAGCTTAGCAGGGGGCTGGCAAGGAAGACCTCCACCCATCACACTCTGGGTGACTGTCACTCCCTAGGGAAACTTCTCCCTAGGGAACCACCCATCATACCTGTTATCATACCCTATCCTTTGTAGACTTGGCCCAACTGTAACATATTAATATGTTTACTGTCAGTCTCTCCCACTGGACAGTAATCTCTAGGAGGGTAGGAACCAGACCCATTTGCTCATTCCTGAATATTCAGCACCCAGCACAGTGCCTGGCGCCTAATAAGATCTCAGTAAGAATTTGTCAAGTGTAGGAAAGAATGAATAAATGAAGGTCCTTGTCCATGAGGTGGAGGGAAGCCCACGTGTC
This sequence comes from Homo sapiens, assembly GCF_000001405.40. Lineage (NCBI taxonomy): Eukaryota > Metazoa > Chordata > Mammalia > Primates > Hominidae > Homo > Homo sapiens. The sequence goes on from NC_000020.11 coordinate 29,562,459, forward strand.
TTCTTAGTGCCTGCCATGCTTTCCGAGACTCTGCAGCATCTGCTGCTACCCCCAGGATCTCTCCCTCCGGGACCCTTCCTCACCCCTGTCATATCAACCCAGGACCAATGGGGCCAATCTTATCTGGATACCCTTGCCTCCCCACTTGCCTTGAGTCACCTTTCTTAAGTCCTTCACACAATGTTCTTTTCCTCCCATTTTCCTTCCTCCAAGATACTTTCTCAGATTACCTGTGGCCTCAGTCCTGGATTCAGATACTCTTTCAGATAATCTTTTATTTTTTTATTTTTATTTTTATTTTTTATTTTTCTTGAGACAGAGGCTCCCTCTGTTACCCAGGTGGGAATGCAGTGGCAATCTTGGATCACTGCAACCTGTGTCTCCCAGGTTCAAGTGATTCTCCTGCCTCAGCCTCCAGAGTAGCTGGGATTACAGGCTTGTGCCACCATGCCCAGCTAATTTTTGTATTTTTAGTAGAGACGAGGTTTCACCACGTTGGCCAGGCTGGTCTC
>NC_000020.11:29563363-29564411 GCF_000001405.40 Homo sapiens
CAAGTTAGCAAATAGATACATGCAAATTTTGAGACCTGTTGTGAAGTGAGTAATCACAGCCAGGGTGGAGCAGGGAACCCTTTAAATTGGGTGATCAGCTAGGCATGGTGGCTCATGCCTGTAATCCCAGCACTTTGGAAGGCTGGGGTGGGCGGATCACCTGAAGTCAGGAGTTCGAGACCAGCCTCACCAACATGGAGAAACCCTGTCTCTACTAAAAATACAAAAATTAGCTAGACGTGGTGGCGCATGCCTGTAATCCCAGCTACTTGGGAGGCTGAGGCAGGAGAATCGCTTGAACCTGGGAGGCGGAGATTGCCATGAGCCGAGATCGTGCCATTGCACTCCAGCCTGGGCAATAAGAGCAAAACTCCGTCTCAAAATAAAATAAAATAAAATAAAATAAAATAAAATAAAATAAAATAAAGTAAAGTAAAATAAAATAAATTGGGTGGTCAGAGAAAGTTTCTCTGAGGAAGTGACACTTGGGCTGAGGTTTGAAGAATGAGAGGGAGCCATGTAAAGAGTGAGGTAACAGCATTCTAGAAACAGTTCAGTCACCTGGGTGTGCACAGCAGCATTTGGGGGATGGGAGTGGGAGGGGAGCTTTCCCAAACTGCACACTCCTATCTCTTTTACATTTTGAAAGCCCCTGCCCTTCCAATGTGGGAGGACCATTGCTTAAAATCTTTGGAGAAGCAGCCCTGGCCTTACCTGGAAGCTGGTTAGTAAACAGAGCTCAGGTGCCACCCCAGATCTACTTAGTCAGAATCTGTATTTTAACCAGGTCCCAGGTTATTTGTATGCACAGTGGTGTTTGAGAAGCAGTGTTTCAGGAAATACCTCACAGGAGGAATGGAGTGTGAGGACATCGGAGGATGTGAGGTGGGTGGGGTTGGGGGGTTGGTTGCTGAAGAGTGGATTTGAATCAGAGATGGGGGTCTGAGTGTGTATATGTGCCTCTCTGTGTGTGTTCCTCCAGCCCTAATGACTGTGGGCTATCTGAGGATGTGCATCTCCAAGCGCTTTTCCTTCCATGGGTGTGGAG
>NC_000020.11:29565353-29592644 GCF_000001405.40 Homo sapiens
CTCCACTACTGCCCGCTAATTTTTGTATTTTTAGTAGAGACAGGGTTTTGCCATATTGTCCAGGCTTTCTAGAACTCCTGACCTCAAATGATCCCCCACCTTGGCCTCCCAAAGTGCTAGGATTTCAAGCGTGAGCCACCCCACCCATCCAGCTACCAATGGCTTTGTGACCTGGGGCACATCACAGACCCTTTCTAAGTCTTAGTTGCCTCATAGATACTAAGAGGGGACACAGTGTTCTTTTGGTTGCCTCCAGCTCTGATGTTTTGTGGTTCTAACAAGGAGTCCTTGTTTGGAAATGGAACTTTGGAATGGTTTGGATCTCATTCTGGCCATAGAGAGGGCATCATTGCAACTGTGGCTTCAGGGCCAATGTGCGGTTAAGGGGGGCTGAGTCAGAACAGCCCCCTCTTCCTCGATAGTGCCATCCTGTGAGTATAACCCCTGTATGGGTGTTGGACACAGTGTTGGGGAAGACTGTGCAAAAGGGGTAAGTAGGAAAGACCCTGTGGTAGGGGGTTAGCTGGGTATCCATGGCAATGCCTGAACTACTCATGCCTTTTGCACAAGTAGGTCTTCAAATAATCTCTTCTGCTTCCCTCTTTCCCAATCTTTCCCTGTCTAAGGTGTGTGGTGGTGGTGGTGTGTGTGTGTGTGTGTGTGTGTGTGTGTGTGTGTGTCTAACCTGATTGGGAGAGTAAGCCAAATGGAGTGAAGTGGGGAAACATCCCCAAAAGTCCCAGGTAGAGACCTAAGGATTCCTAAATCACAGTGCAGAACAGGGTCCTCTACCCTTTTCCAATTCTGGGAACATCCTGAAGCCAGTCATTGTGGGAGAGAGACATCCCCAACCCAGCCTCACAGACCCCACCCCTCTTCCATGCTTTGCCCTACCCTCCTTCCGTGTGCTTGTATCCTAACCTTAAGCCCTAGAGACTTCTAGGTTCCCAGAGAGCAGCCTATTCAGTGATGTTTACTGAGCGCATGTTATGTGCCTTGCACTGGGCCTGGAGCAAGGGCTAAGGAGTGAAATTAGACCTGATCCCTGTCCTGAAGATGTCACAGCTGAGTAGGCAGAAAGACTTTAAACAAATAATGGCAACACGATGTGCTAAGGAACATCAATGTACAAGATAACAGGTAGTCTGTATTTATGGGAGAGGGAGGCGTAAAAGAAGATGCTTCAGCTGCTTTCTAAACATGTTTGTTGTGGAACATTAAAAACATATCAAAACAGAGCAGTATAGTGTCCTCATCATGCAGCTGCAACAATAGTCACACCAGGATCTTGGCGTGTCTATACTCCCACCCACGTTCCATACCCCACTGCACCATTACTTGGGGTGGAACTGGGTTGGTTTTGAAAGAGGAACAGCAATTCCCCAAGTAGAAAGTGCTGGAGGGAAAAGTTTGCAGGCAGAGGGGATGCTGTGCTCAGAAGCTTGAGCAGTGCCTGATGCTGGTGCACCAAACCGAAGCTGAAGGAGTGGGACAAGATGCTTTGGCCCCCGTGCATGCTGGCCCTAATGCATCTGTCACACAGCTTGCCTTGTGGCTCCTTTTGGAACTCGGGTCTCCAGGCAAGTCTTCAGCAGAGCCAGGTTAGCGCAGAGCCAGCCCTTTGAGTGCAGGGAGTGAGGAGGCACCGCTAAGATGGCGGGCCTTGGCTGGGCGTCCGCGGGGCCTTGGAGGGCCTGAGCGCTAGGGACTGGCACGCACCAGCACTGACGGGTGCAGTCAGGCCCTCCACCCCGCGTCAGCACGCGGTCTTAAATATTACCCCAGAGTTTTCAATTATCTCTCCTTAATGGATTTGCAAGGGCTCTTTCATCAAGCGCGGGGTGGCTGGGTGTGGGGGTGAGGGGAGCACGCGGCGAGGGCTGGAACTGGGAAAATGGCCCATATTTCAATATTAAAGCCCTTTACCATCGTCAGCAGCATGAAAGATGCTGCAAATTAAACGGAGCCGCCCGCGCCAGCCTCTCCATCTCGCAAGTTTTAATTAACGCTGAGGGGGAGGCTGCTGACGGGCGGGTGGGAGCCGGGCCGGCGGCGAATCTGGGAGCCTGCGGATCCCGGATTCCGAACTGGAGCGTCAGGGATCTCACGGGCCAGGCCAGGCGGAGGCGGAGGGTGGTGGTCTCCGAGTCCCGGGTGAGGGCGCGGAAGATGCCCATGGAGATGGGCAAGGCTGAGGGGTGGGGGACAGGTTGGAAGGTCTCTGAGCATCTGACCGGGAAACAAAACTCTGCAACTGAATGCAGGAAGCTTTGTTCTTAAAGGTGAGGGGGCTTGTGGCCAAATCATCGAGCTCTTCATCCCCAGGCTCCTTCAGCGCGCGTCCTTCTGACTCTCTTCTTTAGACCAACATTTCCCCCAAACGCTCCCCCGCGTTGATTACCGGTCCCCTCCCACCTCATCCTGTGGCCCCTTGTTTCGGGAGGCAGGCGTGCTTCTGTGACCCCGCGGCTCCTGTTCTGGGACGTCTGCTTTCTCCATCACTCCCTGGCTTCCCAGGCGGGCCCCATCCTCCGGAGCGGAGCGGAGCAGAGCGCCCAGAAGCGCCACTGTTCTGCCTTGGCAGGGCCTGGCCCGACAGCTTGTGCCTGCGCAGCAGACCCATCCGTCAGGCGGGAAGGATGGAGCGATGTCCAGCTGCCCACTCTGAGGACTCCCCAGGGAGACACTTCTGCCTTGGCCCAGACTCCTCTCTTCCCTTCTCCCCACCCGCCAACCCTTCCCCCAACTACCAGCTCAGTATATACTTCTGTCTCTCCTCCTTTCCTTGCTTCTCCTCCTCCCTCCCATACGCATGCAGCCTGGGGCCTGGGGCCCAGGAAAGCCACTCCTCTCATGGGTCACACTGAGAAGTCCTTCCTCCACCTGCATCCACATGGCAGGGCATAACTCTAAAGCTTAAAAAGATCCAGCGATCTCAGTGGACCACAATCCAAAGCTAAGTCAGCCAACCAACACTCAAGGGCTTAAATCAAGGACTTTGGGCAAACCCTATAGAGTGGAGGAATTAGAAAAATAATACAAATAAAAGACATGGTCATTATTCCTGGGTATTTACAGATACTTTGTGCTTCCTGAAATGTTTTGCAGAAATCACATTCTCCTCTCATTGTGCTACACAGCTTGTAAGCACCAAGACAAGAAATTCTATGATAAAGCAAAAAGAAAAGAAAAGAAAAAATCCTCTTCTACTTTCTTCTTGGTGTGAATTTTTTCTTGTCAATTTCTGATAATCTATCAAGCCTACTTAAAATAGTGCCTGCTTATGCAGTATGGTTAGGATGATGAACACACACTTAAACAGGATAGGGAATAAGTACAAACTACAAGTGCTGTGGGGATGCAGAGTAATAGGACAAGTGGTGAAAATTAAAACATTTTTGGCTTAATCAAGGAGTACTTCCTGGAGGAGGGGAGACCTGATTTGGAAGGAGAGGTGATATAAACTTGAAAAGAAAGTTCCAGATGTGGAAACACTGGTTTTATTCTTTATTTTTATTTTGAGACAGGATCGTACTCTGTCACCCAGGTTGGAGTGCAGTGGCATGATCTTGGCTCACTGCAACCTCCACTTCCCAGGTTCAAATTATCCTCTGCCTCAGCCTCCTGAGTAGCTGGGACTACAGGCATGTGCCACCATACCCAGCTAATTATTTTGCTTTTTTTTGTAGAGATGGGGTTTTGCCATATTGCTTCAGCTGGTCTTGAACTCCTGGACTCAGGTGATTCCCCTGCTGCCTTGGCCTCCTAAAATGCTTGGATTATAGACGTGAGCCACCACACCTGGCTAACACCGGTTCTAAAATTAGGCAGAATCTCTATTTTACTTCAGGTTGAGGAGCAGATAATCTTGGCTATATTTTCCCTGGCAATACAATAAGACGAAAGAAGCCTTGTGCAATAGCAGGAAGAATTCAGGGTAGACAGTGGGGTCTTGGCTAATGCTGGAGACTAAAGTGAATGGAGAGAGACCCTGAAGCACCTTTCTCCCATACTTGGCTATGGGCTATGGGAGGGATGCCTGGACTCTGAGACTTGGCCACCATGTTGTGTTTTGCCATTAGAAGATTTGGACATGAAGTTGAATAAGGCAGGAACGACGTCATAGCATCAACCACAACCCCCAATGTGGCTGGAGAAGGAGGGAGAGAGGGCAAAGAATATCTTCCTCTTACTCAGATTATAAGTGGAGAAACTGAAGTCCATTCACTCAAATCGGTAAGTGTCTACTGAGCACCTCCTATGTGGCAAGCACTATATAGGCCCTAAGGATCCAGAGATGATCAGGGCATGGTCCCTGTCAACATGGTGCTCACAGTCTAGTGGGAAATAGAGTTCACTTGTCATTCTATCATTCAATCAAAAACAAAAAGTATTGAGCACTTACTCTGAGCCAGGCAGAGTTGCAGGTGCTGGAGATGCAACTGTGAACAAGACAGACTCAATCCCTGCCCCATCAGAGAGTACCACCTGGTGCAGAAGATACATACATAAACAGGCAGCTATAATTCAGGGTGATGTATGCTATGAAGGCTAAAGGACAGTTGCCATGGGGTGGCATATCCATAGATATGCCATAGATCCATAGGTTCCCATGAGGGGATCTATCCAAGTCTGTGAAAGGGGATGCGAGGATGATGTGGAAGAAGCAACACCAAATCTGATCTGCTCACAAGGTGCACAGAAGTCAGGAGTGGGATGGCATGGGGAGGGTGTCCTGGGCCTAGAGTTTGTGTTCCTTTTCAGCATCTTACTAGGAGCTTGTGGCCAAATCAGGCCCAGGCGGAGCTTCTTCCCTCTAGTCACAGGATAGCACTGGCCTGCACCAACACAGCCCTTCCAACACCAGCAGGGGAAACCAGATGATAATCCTAACAGAGCCAGACCAAGGAATGGGGTTATCAGTTTTCCTTTTTCTGCTGGGAAGTTTCTGCCTTGGAGCTAGGCTACGTGGGCGGAGGCTGGGAGGTGGGAGGGCACTGTGGAGGATCTTACTCTTTCCACCCTCCTCTCACTGATCCTAGTTTTGAACAAGAAACAGGTGATCTGTTTCGCTAGTTGCAGCTGAATAGAAACCAGGACAAGAAAGTGTTGTCCTCCCCAGACACGTTTCTGTCTCCTGGGTCCTAACCAGCTGCCTACTTGAGCCATCTGACTTCAATCCACAGGGCCTCCCAGGAGCTGAATCCAGAATGGCAAGAACAAAGTAGCAAAGCAGGAAAGGGCATTCAAGAAGAGAACAGCATGGGCAAAGGCCGCAAGGCCAGAGCACTTGGAAACTGCAAGTCCCTCAGTGTAGAGATGAGTCTGTAGAGGAGGTTGACACAAGCTTGTGAAAGACCCAGTATGCCAGGCTAAGGGGGTGGGAACAGTGAGGGACACTGAGGGTTTTATGGCTTAAATTTTGACAAGTGTATCTACAATATAGACAACTAATGTAACACTCCTTTTTTTTTTTTTTTTTTTTTGAGATGGAGTCTCACTCTGTCGCCCAGGCTAGAGTGCAGTGGTGAGATCTTGGCTCATTGCAACCTGCACTTCCTGGGTTCAAGTGATTCTCCTGTCTTAGCCTCCTGAGTAGCTGGGACTACAGACTGATCCCACCACATCTGGCTAATTTTTTGTATTTTTGGTAGAGACAGGGTTTCGCCATGTTGGCCAGGCTGGTCTCGAACTCCTCAGCTCAAGTGATCCACCTGCCTCAGCCTCCCAAAGTTCTGGGATTACAGGGAACACTTTTTTTTAAATTTTTTTTTTTGAGACAGAGTCTTGCTTTATCATCCAGGTTGGAGTGAAGTGGCTCAGTCATAGCTCACTGCAACCTTGACCTCCCGTACTCAAGCAATCCTTCTGCCTCAGCCTCCTGAGTTGCTGTTAATTTTTTTTTTTTTTTTGTAGAGACAGGGTCTCACTATGCTGCCCAGGCTAGTCTCAAATTTCAAGAGACCAAGGCGGGAGGATGGCTGGGCTCAAGAGATCCTCCTGTCTTGGCTTCTCAAAGTGCTGGGATTATAGGCATGAGTCACTGCCTATCCATATAAAGTAACACTCTTGAACCCACTATCCAGACTTGAGGTTTTTTTAAGTTACTGTTAAAATTTTGTCAATTTTGCTCTTGAGTTTTCAAAATAAAGAGGTCATTACAGATAAAGCTGAAGTTCCCTTTGTCCCTTCCCCAGTACCATTCCCCTCCCTTTCAGAGGCACCACCATCATATATTTTTTCTATTTTTACCATAGATATATATCCATTAATAACATTCTAAGGCTTCCGTGCATTTTAAAAAGAGGTCCAATGGTTATGATATAATTAATAACTTTAGTTTTCCATCGCACATTTTTAAAAAAGTCTTTATTTGAGGTTTTCAGCAAAGTGCTGACAAGGGTAAAACTAGCGTTATAAGATCATGCTGGTTACCAAGTGGAGTATTCCAGGTGACAGAGGAGGACCAAGGATGGTGACAGTGGGAAGGAGGAGACAGAGCTAAAAGGAGACTCCACACCACAGGTCACTGGTGATCGCCCTGTGAGGGCAGGGTTGTTTTATACATGCTGTTCTTCAGCACCATGAACAGGGCCTGGCTGTTGAAGATGCCCAATAAATATCTGTTGACAGAGAAAGGTTGACAGGGGCAGACGGATCCAGGATGACTCCCAAATTCCTGGCCCAGTGCAAAAGCCTGGATGATGATCCCAGTCTGCAGTATGAGGGCCCCAGGAGGAGAAGCTGGATTGCAGGGAAAGATGAATCCAGAAGCCATCTCTCTGATCTAGAGGAAATGAGGCTGTGCCGTGTGGAAGGGATTAATGTTAGGAAACAGACCAGACATCCGTTCTTAGGACAGAAAAAAATCTTGTAGCAGGTAGTTCAAGGCTATAAAAGATCTGAAGGGACCCAGAGATGGTAAAAGTGGAAAGGTTCAGTCCTGCTGGGGGCAAAGGGATAGTTGAAAAACAAGCCAAAAACAATAATCACTTTCCTTAGAAGGCCAGGAGGGCAGGGCCCAGCTTCTGCATCAGCCACAATGAGTGTCTTATAGCCCTCTGTGTGGTGGGTACCCACAGCCCATTAGCCAAGGCAGAGGAGGAGGAGGAAGGTATAGTAAGTGCATCTAGGATCATAAAGACCTTGTCAGATGCCCACACTCAACTTTGCTCCCACTCCATATTCATCAACAAGATGGAAAAGTGGGGTGCTCACAGCTGCTTCTTAGGACCTATTCTTGACCAAATTCAATTTCTCTATTCAGGGAAGGATGTGAAATATAACCTGCTTTCCCAACTCTTAAGACCCAGAGCTCTGGCTCTTCACCTTAAAAGGCTGCCCTCTGCAAGAGCTCCCTCAAAGTCACTGCCACCCCCACCTCCTCACCCCACCACCCCTGCCCCAGGCACAGCCACCACCCACCCTCTGCTGCTAATTCACCTATAAACAGTCTCCTGCCTTGCATCTCCACTCAGTTTTGTTGTTTCTCTAACACGTTCCACTCCCCTGACAGCCCGCCCGATCCTTCCTGTTACCTTAGCACTGACTTCCTAAATGAAGTGCGGTGGCTCACAGTTCTGTCCTCTGTTTTTGTCACTCTTTCCAGCCCCTCACTTGAGCCTTTTGTAGCTTGGTCTCACAATTCTTTGGGTCCTGGCTATGGTTAAGTGGCATTTCTCTACTTCATCCCTGGGTTCAGGGACAGAAATGCTTTTACCATCCCCAGTGCCCCTCTCTGGGGGGAGCAGAGAGGTCACTTTAGTTTTGTTTGGTCTGGTGGAGTAAGGCACGCCCTTCTCTCAGAGAGGGAGCTGTCATGGATCTAAACCAGTCCCTTTCCTAGGAGTACTTGCAATTTAGACTTGTTCTTTAGTCAAGGAATGTTAAATATTGTAAAGCAATGCCGTAGCTGGAGGGGGAGAATCTTGGAATCCCCTTTCCACGAGCCTGCTATTTGAAGGAGTGGTGGGATCCCTTGGAAGTGTGGGCCCCTTGTACTCTGGATCTAATCCCTAGAGTCACCAAAGGGCCAACGTAATGATTCTCAAACAAATCTGTGATCAGTCCCCTCATATCTTGAACTTGGGAAGGCTGCTAATTTTTATCAGAGCAATACACCCTGTAGATACCACCTCCCTGAACTCTAACCTGAGCAGAGCTCTAAACCATCAAAGAATCAGGCTATATAGACTTCCCCCTTAAATGGGTGTAGATTCAACAAGATTCCAAAGGTCACGTGACTTGCCTGACTAATCAGCGTTCTTCCTCAGTGGGGAAACTACTTGGGCCTTTTTTCCTTCTCCTTTTCACCTACCTGAATTATTACATTTATTTATAATTAACATATATTGCATGTAATATTAAAAAAAATAAAACTTAGAAAGACTTGGTGGTGGGTGCTGCTGAATTAGGTATCAGAGCCCCAGTTAGGTGGGTGTCCTGTGGAGTTTCTGATGAATCAAAAGCCATTGTTGGGCACTTTAAAAACATGGACGCCTTGAGCCCTGGGCAGCCCCAAGGCTGTGACTACCGAGGGCACCCACAGAGGATTAGAACTGGGGCACTGGAACGAGAGGATCATCAGAAGCAAGGCCTGGATGCTCAAATTCCCACCACAGTCATAAAACTTAAGAGCATCTAAGTCGCAAGCAGCTTTTAGTTTCTTTCTTAAGAATCCAACTAATCTTGTGTTCCACCTTGTAGCCTTCTATAAAGTGTGACCATTCACTTGGTTGATGATTAATGATTCAGCTAGTAATTATTAAACAGAAAGGAACCAGAAATAAGAATCATAAATTTAAACACAACATTTCATGTTCTTAATGCTAAACTTGAAGGTAAAACAGTAGGAAGGTAGAAAAAACAATGTTGCTATTTGTTTTGTTCTTTTAAAGAATGAAGAAGTCAGATTTCCTGGTCCTTGTGTAGGCTCTGTTCCTGACAGGGTTTCTCAAACTTTTCTGCCAAAGTCCCTTTGATATTAGAGGCAGGAGGGTAAACTTGGGCCCCAGCACTCTGGGGGCTTGCCCTGAAGGGCCATTAGCAAGGACCAATTATTTCTTTTTTTTTAAAGACATGTTTAATTAAATAATAGGTTACTTCATCTTCATTATTTGCATTATATAAAAATAGGATTTTTTATTAATAAGAAAATAGCAGATTCTTTTTGTGGCCTTAAGTTTTAGCTCTAAAATGATGCAAACTTTGCATTTTATAACATAGTATATTTTATACAACTTAATGTAAAAATGATATTTTAAACCATCTGCCATCAAAAAACCTCTGTGGCCCTCGGAGAGGCTTCTTATATATCCGGGGACACCCTCAGCGTGCAGCTACTGCAGTGTGGCCTGGGGCACTTGCACCCAGGTGAGAGGTGCTACGGAGTGTGGTGGTTTGTTAAACTAGCTGCCACTGTCCCAGGTTGTATCTTTAATAACTACTATTTAGTGAGCACTAATATGTGCCAGACTCTACGTCAAATACTTTTATATGCTTATGCCATTTAAATTCTCACAACCACCTGCCTAAGGCCACAGAGCTGTAAGGTGGCAGAGTGGGGATTCAAACACCTGTCTGCTTGGTTTCAAAGCCAACTGTGACCCCCTGCTGACTCTTAGAGGCCAAGGCTGAAGCCCGTGGCTGAGTGAGTGGTGGTGACCTGGGGAAAGAACTGTTGTGGTGCAACTGGAAAGAGTGTGGGGGGTGTTCCGAAGGTAGTGCCTTATCTCAATTGATTGTTCACAGTCAGTTACAGATCAAACTCCTTGTTCTGCTCCTTCCCCCTTCTCACTACTGCATTTGACCAGTCTTTAAAAAAAAATACATACAATGCAGGTCTAATAAGAGAAGGGTCAGAAAAGCTAGGCTTAGGTCTAGCTCTGACTTTGACTAGCTATATGTTCTTCAGGGAGGCCCTCAGCCCTGTCTATAAATGGGACTATAAAGGTCTGTGAAAGGGGCAATGGAAAAAAGATGAATGTTGAGCCACATCTCAGGCTCCTTTCTTGCTCCACTGCTTATCAGCTGTGTCATCTTAGGCACATCACTACGACTTTAAGTCTGTTTCCTCACGTCTAAAATGTGAAGAACAATACCCACCTCACAGGGCTGCTGTGGGGATGAAAAATAATACACATGAAACACCTGAAACAGAGTTTACATATAGTAGTTGTGCAATAAATGCTTCCCAATAGTAGTTATCCTTGTAATAGTGGTATTAGCCATACTACTAAAGTATTATTATATAAAGTAGTATTAGCAATGCTACTAAAGTGTTCATATTTTAAAATTGTGATTATTAAAGTGAGAAAAATGTATGAAAGGAATACTACAAATTAAGGTAATCCATTAAAAATAAGGAGCTGGAGGCTAGGCATGGTGGCCCACACCTGTAATCCCAGCACTTTGGGAGGCCAAGGTGGGTGGATCACCTGAGGTCAGGAGTTCGAGGCCAGCCTGACCAACATGGAGAAACCCCGTCTCTACTAAAAACACACAAAATTAGCCAGGTGTGGTGGCGGGCGCCTGTAGTCCCAGCTACTTAGGAGGCCGAGGCAGGAGAATGGCATGAACCTGGGAGGCGGAGCTTTCAGTGAGTGGAGATTTTGTCACTGCACTCCAGCCTGGGCGACAGGGCGAGGCTCCATCTGAAAAAAAAAAAAAAAAAAAAAAGAGCTGGAGGAGGCCCACCTTAATGTACGCCAAAATAGTTCTGCTGGTTGAAGGCCTGGAGTTCCCTGCAACGGGTGGGGAAGGGGATTAGCCCGGGGAAATAATGCCTGGGGCAAGTTGAAGCAGAGTTAGGGAAGATCCAGGTCCCTCTGCTGAGGGACAGTTTGGAGGACAGAGCCTGACCCTCCATGAAGAGAGACTCTCAAGGTCTCTTTTAGCTTTAACATTGGCTAAGTGTGATTCTATGACTCAACCAGTCTGCCCTAATTCCTCAGTGTGGGCAGGACATGAAAGACCACCCACCAGTATCTCAGTGAGTTTGTGTGGCCCCCACCTTGGCAGCCACACACAGACACTTCCCAGAGTCTCAGTGATGACAATTCTCTCTAAAGGGAACCCAAGCCTTAACCAAAGACCACCTCTCCATCTTACTGCTGGGGCCTTTCAGGTCAGCCTAGAGGGAGTTTTCCAGAGCAGGTGGCTTCCTGAGTGGCCAAGATCATGTGGGCAGGATAGGTTCTCTTCTCGCTGGGCCTTTCCCCCCTAAGCTGGTGTCCCAGGCACCTCTCTCAGTGTGGAAATCAGATTCTTTATGGTTTATTTTTGACACCAGATCATCGCTGCCCAAGTTTCATCAATTTGTCACTCTTTTTATTGTCAGCAATTGCCCATAACTGGAGCACATTTAAAATGTCATTGATCTTGGTATTACAGTGTCATAATCTGACAGTAATAGTTGTAGTCAGCACAGGAAGCCAAGGCCCTGAAATTGATGGTGCACAGCACACCAATTATATTCTGTCCATCTAAGTGATAAAAGAGTATGTAGGAGGCATTCAATAGATAAATTAGATATCACTCCCAATTATGTCCTTTATTTTATGGAGTCATATGCTCCCCTTAGAACTTTTTTTCTTCATTTGGCTTGTAAAGGGGAATTACTTGACCCCCCTAAAGACTGGGACTGCCTCCCCTGCCTGTCCCAACTTGGGTTCTATCCTGATCCCTTCCGACTGGCTCATAGTCTTTCACCTGGGCTTTCTCTGGGACTCACCTAGGAGTTCCCCAGTGTGGTAGGTCCACAGGTGTAAAGGGAAGGAGGCAGAGGTGCTTCACCATTTGGGAAGGAGTTGGGTCAGGCCTTTGGGAAATCCTAGGAAGTCTGGCAATGCCTTTAATGTGACACTGCCCAAACAAATGAGACCGGGAGAGGGGCTGGAAAATGGGTAAAAATTCTCCAGTCCAGACAACAGAGCCTTCAAATTAGGACAACGAGTAATTGGCTATGACTGGGGAGGAAGAGGATGGTAAAAAGGTTTTCAGTCCTGAAGAAGTGAATTCATCCACCCCTCTACCTCCACTCCAGACTGGGTGGGGCCAATTCAAGCCCTTCCTCGGAAGAACTCCCGGAATCTTCCACATCCCCATTCTGATCCATATCAGATGACTTCCTCAGCTCAAGTCCTAGCTCTACCACTGTGGTAGGGACATAATGCCAGCTTTCCTAGGGGAGACAGAGGGCTCCTGTTTGAGAAAAAGCCCCAAGAATGGTTCATTTCCAAGAAGAGAGCTCACCTGAGGCCGGGAAGTGCTTGGCCAAGGAATAGAGGTACAGTGAAGGAATAACTTTATTGGAGACCTGGTTTATAAGCATCTTAAACTCTGAGGACAGCCTTGACCTGGTCCAGACCCCTGTTTCCCCATCCCCCAAAGCCAGCAGGAAACACGGCAGAGGCCGAGACACCAAGTAGTAAACAGTGATCTAGGTCCATTGATCGAGCTTTCAAAGAGAAAGTGTCCATGGGTTGGGCTGCTCCCCATTGCCCTGTTGCCATCTCAATGTTATAAATAATTCTGGCACTAAGTGTCCTGTTACACGGAGAGGAAGTAGATCTTATGGCGTGAAACCTGAGAATATGGGTCATGGGAAGAGGGGTGACTGGGGGCAGGGGTAGAGATGGGGAGCGATCACCCCAAGGCTCCTCAACTACACCCCTAGGCTGGTGATAGATGAATTTCTGGAGCAGAGGATGGCATTTCAAGTGAAATGTTTATAGGAAATGAGTATGATTTAAACAACGTCTTGGGTGATAAGCACCAGCCAGCTGGGGGGAGATGGCAGGCTAGAAGTGGAGGAATCAAAAGCCCAGAGGCCCCCAGTGTTAAGTAGCTGTCTGAAGCTCAACTCAAACACACACACCAGCTTTGGTCTCAACATGTTTTTAACAGCTGGTTATGATTTCCTTGAGGTGGCTCAGATTAAGACTAGAGTGGAGCCCCCAGCTAAGCACCTTCAATAACTGTCCATCACATCCTCTTTAGAAACAGCAGCCTCTTCCCCTTGGCTCAGGGACCCTGTAACTGGGAAGGGCTGTGAAGCTGCATGGCTTGTCAGCCTGTTCCCAAGTAGCACGGGGCCTGTCTGTCCTTTGCCTGGGGTCCTGCCCCAGATCCCAGGAACAGAGATTGAGCCCCACCCACAGAGAGCTCTCAGTCTTCAAGAAGAGAGAAAACATACAACCTAGAAAAGAAGAGAGGAAGCAAAGAGATCAAAAGGATGGAAGACAAGGAAGAGGAAACTGCCACCAAATCCAGAATTTGGGCCTTTCTCACCACATGCACTGCTGCCATCCTGGTCCAAGCCACACATTTCTCACTTGGATTAGTGCAATGACCTTTCAACAAGTCTCCCTGCATCTTCCCTTGGCCCCCTGTGATCTATTCTCAACACAAAAGACAAAAAGACTATTTAAAAACTGAAGTCCAGGCCAGGTGCAGTGGCTTACGACTGTAATCCCAGCACTTTGGGAGGCCAAGGTGGGTGGATCATGAGGTCAGGAGTTCAAGACCAGCCTGGCTAAGATGGTGAAACCCCGTCTCTACTAAAACTACAAAAATTAGCTGGGCATGGTGGCAGGTGCCTGTAATCCCAGCTACATGGGAGGCTGAGGCATAAGAATCACTTGAACCTGGGTGGCAGAAGTTGTAGTGAGTCAAGATTGTGGCACTGCACTCTAGCTTGGTTGACAGGGTGAGACTGTCTCTCAAAACAAAACAAGACCCTGAAGTCCAATCATGTCTTTCCTCTCTACTTCACTCCGAGTAAAAAGCAAAGTCCTTAAGTTGACTTATGAGGCCGAACATCATCTGTTTCCTCCTTACCTCTCTGATGCCATCTCCTCCCACTCTTGCTCACTCCCACAGACTTGCCAGGCATGTTCCTGCCTCAGAGCCTTAGCACCAGCCACTCCCTCTACTTGGAATACTCTTGCCAAGATGTCTATGGGGCTTACTTCCTCTCTCACCTCTAAGTCTTTGTTCAAATACCATATTCTCAGTGAGATTTCCTTGACAACCATATTAAAAACCTCAGATTTCCCCTCCATGCTGATCTTTCTGTATGTGATCTATTCCTTTTCTGTAACAATTATCATTTTCTAATATATGATATAATTTACTTATTTAGTAAGAATATTGTTCATTATCTTTCTCTCTCTGCTAGAATGTAAACTCCACATAGGTGGGGGTTCTTTCTCTGTTTTGATTACCAATGTATTCTAAGAACTTGGAATAGTGCTCAATAATAATTGCTTAGTGTGTAAATGCAAAGGATGAGGTTCACCAGGGGAGGGTTTGGAGAAGAGACCAGAGGGGAGGCCATCCCAGGCTTGGGGTAAACTTGTGCCTTATCTCACAACAGGCCATGTGTGAGGATCTGAGAGTCAGATCGTTGGGCACAAGTTCAAGAGTCGGGCTAGGCCATCACCTAAAATGGAGAGATTCAGTTAACAAAGAGACTAGGCTGGATTTACCTCCGGAATCTGGTGGAGGACTTGGCTTTTGGTTGGGATTTTACCATCTTCATGACCAAAGCATACTTGGGGATAATAATGCCAAAGGGATGTGCAGGGCAAGAATGAGGTGGTTGGGAATGGAGGCACACTGGGAATTCAGGTGGGGGAGGGTAGCTGAAAGAACAGGCATGTGTCTTCTAAGTCTGGAAAAAAGATTGAGGTGGAATTAGAGGGCCTGAAGGAAATTGTGTATGCAAGTGGGAGGAAGAGCCTGGGTCCCTGGAAGCTATCATCTCCAAGAGCATGTTCCATCTCCACTGACGGCAGAATCAAAAGCGATGGGCTGCGCCTAAAGTCAAAGGAACTAGAGTGAGACATCAAGAAAGGCCTCCCAATAATATGACAGGTGGTGGAGGGGAAGCACTGGGCCTTGTTCTCTGGAAAACTTGAGCAGGACCTAACTGGGTGCATACCTGAGCCAGGCTAACCCAGAGGGCACTGTGAGGCTCTGGAGTGGGAGTGTGGTACTAGAGCCCCTGAGAGGGTTCCTGCCTCTGCCTGACTTTGAACTCCATCCTCTCACCTGTGAGGCTTCTGAGCTTCTAAGCATGCAGAAATGTCCTCTCTCCTGACCTCAAGTTTCTGCATCTTTTCAGAGTGGAAACTGAGAGTATTTAGTATTCCAAGGTCCCACCAGTCCAGGGGCCAAAACATGTGTACCACCTCTCCTCAGAATATCATTGCTCAACTCAGTTTTGTGGTGGCCTCAGGGTACAAGCCAGGAGAAGCAGAAAATACCTTTGGAGGTTATACAATTCAGTGGTTACTGCAGTTATAATGGAGTGAGGACATGGGTGGCCTGGGAGTTCTGAGGTTCCGGGGAGATTTACTTGTCACTGTATAACTTTTGGTGCCTTTTGAGTTTTGAACCATGTACATGTATTTCCTATTCAAAAAACATAAAACAATTAAAATCAGAGGAAAGCAACAACAATAATAACAACAAAGAATAGGTCTAGGGAAGTGGGAACTTGATGCCTCCAATTGCTACCCTGAAGGCAATGACCTGCCTCCTCTTGCCCATGTGTACCTTCCTCCACATCTGGCATCTCCATTCTCTAGAGGCTCAGAGAGGGGTGTGGCTGGCCTGATGTCACCCAGCATTTAAGACTAGCAAAATTCTGGGGCTTAGCAGTCCAGACTCTCAGTGTTGTCTTTCTTTTCTGATCCTCAATGACCCCGTCTACTCATTGACCACTCCATGTTTTTGGCAGAACTTTACATATGCTACAAATCAACCTTCAATGGGTTATTGTTAAAACTGTGTGATCTTAAATGCCATCTTTTCCAGGAAGTAATCTCTTTTCACAAAGAGAAAGAGATGGCAGCTCTCCTCTCCCCCTGGTGTGGTGTCTGATGGTTCATTCTCTCCCTTCCTGCCTCCCTCCTCCCTACCACCCTCTACCACTAAAGTGGCTCTCCACTGAAACTTGGCCCTGTCTCTGATGAGATATGTGACCTTGAGCAAGTCATTTAACCTTTCTGTGTGTCTGTTTCTTCATCTAAAATTGAGGATCCTGACCTTCCTTCCATGGCTCTTCACTTATGCATTTGTACAGCAAGCATGTATTCTGTGCCTGGTGCTGAACCTGGCAGTGAGGATCACACAAGACAATGTATGTGAAGTTAACACAGAGACACAGAGAGTTACCGCCAAGGCGTCCTTCCTTGGATGCTGTTCTGCGCTGGGTGCTCCAACCCCCTCATCTGGCACGCCCTTGGAGGAACTGCTTCACAGTCTACTCCAAACCTCTTAACTTCTAGCATTGCTCCTGGGCTGAAGCCGATATCCTGCTCTGCATGAAGGGTCAGGGGGTGCAGAAATAGCCTATTTCCCAGGCTTTTTCATTTGGTTAGATCCTTAGGCACCACTTTGCCTACAAGAAGGAATAATGCTGAAATCTGTCTGTTGGTCTTTAGTCTGGAATTTTCAGTGTCCACCTCTCTTGCCCTCTGTGGGCCTTTCCCTGGGAGTTGGGCTGGAACAAGGGGTAGGAAACGGATTCTATTCGTGTCCTCGCTCTGCTCATTTCTCTCCTTTCCTGAATCCCATGCATCCATGGAGATTGGTACAGTGGCTAAGATTCTGGGATTGGAAACTCACATTTGTCTCCCTCCAAATGTAAGCTGAGCTGTGGAGGAAAGATGGTCCCTTCTTTAAAATGAACACCACCATCTCAGAGTATACAGGAGCCTGCTTCAAGCAGAGGAGGCAGAGCTGCCTTCCAGAGCTCTTGGCAGGAAGCTGTCCCCACTCCCTGCCTGACCACTGAGGATTGGACGAGCGTCACTGGGAGGGAGGGGTGTTTGTAGAAAAAACGTGCTGCTTCAGCCCTGGTCATTGCTGATGGACCATGACAGCAAGGAAGGTCAAGTCCAGACTAAGGAGGTACTTCTGGTTGTCAGGGACTGGGTTTAAGGTGAGAGGTTGGTTGGAACTACTCAGACATGGTCTTCCCAGAGCAAGGAGGAAGGATGAGATGATCTGGGAGTTGTGAAGGACTCAGGGGTTTCATGATGCTGCAGAGCTGGCAGTGACTGGGAGGATGCCAGGGAGATGTCAGTTCACCCATGTCTAGAGCAGAAATCCCATGGTCAGAGACCAGGTATCTGGAACCCCAACATTCCCAGCATAATGCCTCGCACAAGGCTAACTGGAAACTGAGGAAGACAAGTCCTTCCCTGGAAGACGGTGACAACACTGTGCTCACAGAAGGACAGCTACTTTAAAGCCCCAGCAAGAAAATGGTCCCAGACTGTGGGACCTGGAAGTACTTCTTCATGTCCAGCCTCAATCCTCCTTACCACAGCTCGATTGGATCTCAGTGCAACCTGTGGGATTTGTCCATGCCCAGAGGAGAAACCCAGCAAGGAATATGGACTTTGCTTTTAGGCCTACCCTGTTGGCTGTGGGAGATAAAACAATGAGAAAGGAAGTGCAGATGACATGAAACACAGCCTAGATTGCCAGGCAAAAGCCAGACACAGCTGCCTGTTTCTCATCCTACAGGAGTCATGCAGCTGTCCTTTAGAAGTGGGAGAACAAGTTATCTTGATGGTGGATATAATCGAAATTTATGATTCCAAAAGTATCACAACTGCCCAGTAATTAAAATTTGACAGTGTTTATAAGAAAACACTCATGCAATGGATTCCCATGAGAATCGTCCTCCATGAACTGGGAAACTTTTAGTGTGGAAGACTTTGAGCCAGACCCAGAAAAATCCCAGATTCATGAGGAACATGGAAGTCAGACTGAGCCAGACTTAGGAAACTCTAGGCCCACAAGGAACATGGGAGTCAGGAAAAGAGGAGGCCAGTGTGGAGGCCACATCCAACCCACCATCAGTCCATCTCACTTCATTGTGGCTCCGGGAATGGAAGCTCAATTCTGGAGCTGGCCAGAAGGGCCCCAGTTTGCAATCCAACTTTTCCCTGCACGATTGAGTCATCCCACCTGGGCACCAGGCCATGCTGTTGACTGTGCAATGAAGGGAATGAGGGGATGCAGTTGGAAGCAACTTCTGTGTCATCTGTCTGCACCTTTTTTGCAGGTGAAGGTGCGAGATCCCATCCACACTTCAACAGACTGTATCCTCACCCCTATCTGACCTTATCGTTGCTCACACTCTGCATCCCAGAATAAAATTCTGAGACAATGGAGGAGTGCCTCCCTGATGACCTGAAGCACCTGCTCAGCTACAAACCAAAACGAGGTAAATTCAAGAAGCCCTGCGACTGGACTGCTGGGGTCTGGCCCTGGGTTGGCCACAGAACAATAAAGCATGGGGAGTTGTCTGTTTTGGGGTGTGGTGTGTTTCTCTTCTTTGTAGAAATGTGGCTTTTTGGCAAGGGGAGGTGATTTTGAACCTGGCAGTTGTCAGCCATTCTTCCAAATCACTGTGGATTCAGGAGCCATGGAAAAACAAAGAACATGGAGACCTTCAGCCCAAGCAGAGCCACAGAGACAGGCCACTGGAAGATGGGGTGACAAAAACAGTGCTGCAGTGTATTAGCCAAATTTCTTTCAGCAGACTCCACTTACCTCCACACACAGACACACACACACACACAAACTCACATGACCGCAGCCACACACATATCCACAACTTGAAACACTCCCACAGAAACACACATCCCAGCAGCTTCAGAGGCTGTGTGTTTCTGCAGGAAGCTCCTCTTTGGAGAGAGCAGCCTGGGGAACACAGGTGGACTCTACCTAGATATCACGGAGAGGGGCACATTTCAAAAAGACTCACCCCCACACCCTCCAGGCAGGCCCGTTCGGGCCATCTTCATGGTCAGGTCCCACTGGAGGAGGAGGCACTTGGAGACTGTGATGTGGGGCACTGGAAACTGTTCCTCTGATTCCTTTCCCCAAAGAGGCTGTGTGCAAGAATTGGGTCCCATGGGGGAAGGGAATACAGTCTGCTGAGATGTTAAGGGGTGTCCAGGTGATGAAATCATACCGAAGACCCCAGAGGCAGATGTCAGCAGAAAATGGCAGGGCCCTTGAGCTCACTGCCTCTCTTCATCCTGGGCCTCACAGGGGCTCCTGCTACTCAACATGGCTCTCTGGGAAAGGCAGGAACTATGACAAAGGCAAGTTGAAGGTGAAGCAGAAGTCTCACACTTTGAACAGACCTCACGAGTGCAGATGCAGTTCAGAGAGTGTCTCAGTCGCCGTCTGAGGCAATTGCAAGCCAAAAAAAGTGTGTTTAGGAGCGCTGATGAAGAGTAGTATGGACTCCTCATGAAAGCAATGGAAAATCAATTCTTGCCTTGGAGAATGAGAGGGCCTGTGCTAGCATCCAAGCCATGTTCAAGGATTCCTGCCAGAGGACCCAAAAGCCTCCTGCAAACACCCCAATCCCCCACAGTGAGACCACTACTCACAACCTGGAGTGCAGCCAGCCTACCCGAAGTACTTTTTACTCCCTGAAATCCCTGGCAGCCAAAAGATCTGTAGAGAGAGGCAGTCCCCCGTAGCAACAGATCAATAAAAGATCCCCTCCACAGTGAAAAAGAACATGTAGATGACTGTAACAGAGCCTAGATGACCAGGCAAATCCTGACACCGCTGCCTGCTTCTCATCCTATAGGAATCATGCAGCCCTCTGATAAGAGTGGGAGAACAAGAGTTTCCTTGTTGGCAGATATGGTGAAAATGCTTTGCTATGTGTGGATTTTCTTTTCACAGTTAAAACTTTGTTTTGATTCAGAAGGATAAAGACACTTTTTTTGTGTCCCTATGAGGGAAAATTTCAAAATCCATTGAGGCCTATAGTGGAAACACCAAATATCCCACGATTAAAAACTACAAAGAAGCTATGTCTGAAAATGCTTTCCAATGTGTGATTTTATCTCACAGAGTTAAACATTTCTTGTGATTCAGTAGGCTGGAAACTCTCCTTTTCTGGAATCTAAGAGGGGATATTACAGAGCAAATTGAGGCCTATAGTAAGAAACTGACTATCCTGTGATAAAAACTGGAAACAAACTATCAGTGAAATGCTTTGTGATGTCTGGATTTATCTCACAAAGCTAAATCTTTGTTTTAATTCAGCAGTTTAGAAACACTTTCACTGTAGGATCTGCAAAGGGACATTTTGGAGCCCACTGATGCCTATAGAGAAAAATGGAATATCCCGTGATGAAAACTTAATGCAAGCTATCTGTCAAAAGGCTTTGCGAGGCATGGAATTATCTCACAGAGCCAACTTTTTGTTTTGATTCAGCATGTTGGAAACATGTTTTTTTGTAGAATCTAAGATGAGACATTTTGAAGCACATTGAGGCCTGGAGTTTAAAACCAAATATCCTGCGATAAAAACTAGAAACAAGCTATCTGTGAAAATGCTTTGTGATCTGTGAAATAATGTCACACAGTTAAACCTTTGTTTTAATTCAACAATTTGGAAACACTCTTTCTGTAGAATCTACAAAGGGACATTTCGGAGCGCATGGAGGTCTATAGTGAAAAACAGAATATCTCATGATAAAAACTAGGAGTAAGCTATGTGCGAAAATGCTTTAGGATGTGT
Organism: Homo sapiens; assembly: GCF_000001405.40. Classification (NCBI taxonomy): domain Eukaryota; kingdom Metazoa; phylum Chordata; class Mammalia; order Primates; family Hominidae; genus Homo; species Homo sapiens. The sequence goes on from NC_000020.11 coordinate 29,585,929, forward strand.
GGGCTCATCTCAAAGAGTTATACCTTTCTGTTGATTCATCAGGTTGAAAACAGTCTTTTTGTAGTATCTACCAATAAACTTTTCAAAGCCCATTGAGGCCTACAGTGAAAAACAGAATATCCTGCGGAAAAAAACTAGAAGTTTGCTATCTGTGAACATGCTTTGTGATGTGTCGATTCATCTTACAAATTTAAACCTTTCTTTTGATTCCATAGGTTGGAAACACTCTTTTTGTTGAATCTAAAAAGAAAAAATGTCAGAGCTCATTGGGGCCTATAGTAAAACAAACAAATAAACAAACACAAAAAACAAATATTACACGATGAAAACTAAAAACAAGCTATCAGTGAAAATGTTTTGTGATGTGTGGATTCTTCTCACAGAGTTAAACTTTTTTTATTTAGCATTTTGGAAACACTCTTTTTGTAGAATCTTTGGAGGGACATTTCGGAGCCCTTTGAGGCATACAGTGAAAAACTGAATATCCCATGATAGAAACTAGAAATAAGGTATCAGTGAAAATGGTTTGTGATGTGTTGATTCATCTCCTAGAGTTAAATCTTTGATTCAACAGGTTGAAAACACTTTTATTGTAGAATCTATGAAGAGCATTTTCAAAGACCTTTGAGGCCCATAATGAAAAATCAATTATCCTGTGATAAAAACTAGAAAGAAGATATCTGTCCAAATGCTTTGCAATGTTTGGATTCATCTCACAGAGTTAAACCACTGTTTTAATTCAGCAATTTGGAAACACTCTTTTTGTTGAATCTACGAATGGGAATTTCTGAGACCTTTGAGGCATATTGTAAAAAAGCGAATATCCCTCACACACAAAACTAGAAAACAGCTATCTGTGAGAACGACTGGCAGTGTCTGGATTCATCTCACAGAGTTAAATATTTGTTATCATTCAGCAGGCTAGAAACACGTTTTTTGTAAATCTAAGGAAAGACATTTTGAACCCCTGAGGCCTATAGTGAGAAACAGAATATCCCATGATAAAAACTACAAACAAGTTATCTGCGAAAATGCTTTGTGATATGTGAAATAATGTCACATATTTAAAACTTTGTTTTAATTCAGCAGTTTGGAAACACTGTTTTTGTAGATTCTACATAAAAACATTTCAGAGCCCATTGAGGCCTATAGTGAAAGACCAAATATCCCATGAAAGAAACTAGAAGCAAGCTATCTGTGAAAAAGATTTGCAATGTGTGGATCCAACTCACAGAGTTAAAACTTTCTTCTGATTCGGCAGAATCTGAACATTCAGTTCAATCAGAATTTAAACACTCCTTTTCTAGAATGTACGAAGAAACATTTCAGAGCCCATTGAAACCTATAGTGAAAACCCTAATATCTCATGATAAAAAATGGAAACAACCTATCTGTAAAAATGCTTTGGGATGTGTGGATTCATCTTCCAGAGTTAAATATTTGTTTTGATTCAGCAGAATGGAAACACTCTTTATGTAGAATTTATGAAGGGCCATTTCAGAGCCCATTGAGACCTGCAGTGAAAGATCAAATATCTCCCCCCACCCAAAAAAAAAAAAAAACAAGAAAAAAGCTATCTGTGAAAATGCTTTGCCATTGTGGATTCATGCCACAGAGTTAAACCAGTGTTTTAAATATGCAGGTTGGAAACATTCTTTTTGCAGAATCTACAAAGAAATATTTCAAAGCCCATTGAAGCCTATAGTGAAAAACAAAACATGTGGAGAAAAAAACTACAAACAAGCTATCTGTGAAAATGCTTTCCAATGTGTGGATTCATATCATGGAGTTAAACCTTTCTTTTGATTAAGCAGGTTGAAAGCAGTCTGTTTTTAGAATCTATGAGAAGACATTTTAGTGCCCATTGAGTCCTATGGTGAAAAACTGAATATCCTGTGATAAAAATAAGAAACAGGCTATCTGTGAAAATGCTTTGCAATGCATAGATTTAACTCCACAGAGTTAAACCTTTGTTTTGATTTAGCTGGTTGGAAACACTCTTTTTGTGGAATCTACAAAGGGACAATATGGAGCCCCTGGAGAAGTATTTGGAAAAAGCGAGTATCCTACAATGAAAAGTAGAAAGAAGATATCTGTGAAAATGTTTTGCAATGTGTGGATCTATCTCACAGAGTTAAACCTTTGTTTTGATTCAGCAGGCTGGAAACCCTCTTTTTGCAGATTGTACAAAAGGACATTACAAAGCTCATTGAGACCTATAGTGAAAAGTTAAATATCCCACAGTGAAAACTAGAAACAAGCTATCTGTGAAAAGGTCTTGTGATTTGGGGAATCATCTCTCAGAGTTCAACATATGTTATTTTTTCAGCATGTTGAAAACACTATTTTTGTAGAATATATGAAGGGACATTTCGGAGCCCATGGAGAAGTACATTAAAACACTGAATATCCTGCAATAAAAACTACAAACCAGCTATCTGTGAAAATGCTTTGCATTGTGTGGATTCCTTCCACAGAATCAAACATTTGTTTTGATTCAGCAGGTTGGAAACACTCTTTTTGTAGAATCTACTAAGGGCCATTTCAGAGTCCATTGAGGACTACTACAGTGAAAGACCGAATATCCCATGATAAAAACTAGAAACAAGCTATCTGTGAAAATGCTTTGCAGTGTGCAGATTCATCTCAAAGAGTTAAACAACTGTTTTAATTTGGCAGACTTTAAAATCTCTTTTTGCACAATCTACGAAGAAACATTTCAAAACCCATTGAAACCTACAGTGAAAAACAAAATACGAGGAGATATAAACTACAAACAAGCTATCTGTGAAAATCCTTTGGGATGTGTGTATTCACATCACAGAGTTAAACCTTTGTTTTGATTAAGCAAGTTGGAAACAGTCAGTTTGTAGAATCTAGGAGAAGACATTTTGGTGCCCATTGAGGCCTATAGTGAAAAATGAAATATCCCACAATAAAAACAAAACAAACAAACAAACAAAACCAAGCTATCTGTGAAAATATTTTGCTATGTGTGGATTCACCTCACTGAGTTAAATCTTTATTTTGATTCAGCACTTTGAAAACCCTCTTTTTGTACAATCTGTGAGAGTCATTTGGGAGCCTATTGAGGTCTATAGTGAAAAACCAAGTATCTCATGATAAAAGCTAGAAACTAGCAATCTGTGAAAGTGCTTTGCAATGTATGGATATATCTCACAGATTTAAACACTTATTTTGATTCAGTAGGTCGGAAACACTCTTTTTGTAAAATCTACATAGGGACATTTCAGAGTACATGAAAGACATTAGTGAAAAACTGAAAATCCCATGACAAAAACTAGTAAAAATCTATCTGTGAAAATACTTTGTGATGTGTCAATTCATATCACAGAGTTAAACCTTGTTTTAATTCAGCAGGTTGAAACACTGTTTTTGTAGAAACTAAAATGGCAAATTTCAGAGAAAATTAAGGCCTAAAGTTAAAAATGTTATATCTCAAGATAAAAACTAGAAACAAGCTATATATGAGAATGCTTTGTGATGTGTGGATTCAACTCACAGGGTTAAACCTTTGTTTTTATTCAGCAGGTTGTAAATGCTTTCTTTGTAGTCTATGAAGGGACATTTCAGAGTCCATCAAGAAGTATATGAAAAAACTGAACATCCTGCAATGAAAACTAGACACAAGCTATCTGTGAAAATTCCTTCCTATGTGTGGATTCCTCTCACAGTATAAAACCTTTGTTTTTATTCAGCAGACCAAAATCATTCTTTTTGTAGAATGTACAAAGGGACATTTTGGAGCCCATTGTGCCCTGTCATGAAAAACTGAGTATCACGTGATAAAAACTAGAAACAAGCCAACTGTGAAAATGTTTTATGATCTGTTATTTTATGTCACAGAGTTAAACCTTTGTTTTTATTCAGCAGGTTGAAAACACTCTTTTTGTAGACTCTATGAGGGGACATTTCAGAGCCTATTGAGGTCTCCAGTGAAAAATCAAATATCCCGTGATAAAAACCAGAAACAAGCTATCTGTGAAAATGCTTTGAGATGTGTAGATTTATAGATTTATCTCACAGAATTAAAGGTTTGATTTATCAGGTTGCAACACTCTATTTGTAGAATCTACGAGGGGACATTTCAGAGACCATTGAGGCCTACACTGAAAAAACTGAATATCCCATGATAAAAATCAGATATAAGCTATTAGTAAAAATGCTTTGCAATGTGTGGACTTATCTCACAAAGTTAAACCATTGTTTTGATTTAGCAGGTGAGAAACACTCTATGTAGAATCTAAGAAGACACATTTCAGAGCCCATTGAGGCCTAAAGTAAAACATCAAATATCCCACAATAAAAAATAGAAACAAGCTATATTGGAAAATGATTTGTGATGTGTAGATTCATTTCAGAGAATTAAACCTTTGCTTTGATTGAGCAGGATTGAAGCACTCTTTTTGTAGAATCTACAAAGGGACACTTTGAAGCCCATTGAGGCCTATAGTCAAAAACCAATTATCCCATGATAAAAACTAGAAAAAAGCCATCAGTGAAAATGCCTTGTGATGTGTGGATTTCTCCCACAGAGTTATACCTTTGTCTTGATTCAGTCAGTTGGATACAGTCTTTTCATAGAATCTATGAAGGGACATTTCAGAGCCCATGGAGGAATATATTGAAAAACTGAATATCTCGTGACGTAAAGTAAAAACAAGTTATTTGTGAAAATGTTTTGTGATGTGTCGATTCATCTCACAGTGTTAAGCCTTTATTTTTATACAGCATTTTGGAAACACTCTTTTAGTAGAATCTAAGAGGGGACATTTCTGAGCACTTTGAGGCCTATTGTAAAATATACAATATTCTGCGATCAAAAGTAGAAACAAGCTATCTGTGAAAATGCTTGCAATGTGTGGATTCACCTCAAAGAGTTAAAGTTTTGTTTTGGTTCAGCAGGTTAGAAACATTCTTTTTGTAGAACCTACAAAGGGCATTTCTGAGCCCAGTGAAGACTATAGTGAAAAACCGAATATTCCACGATAAAAACTAGAAAAAAAATCTGTGAAAATGCTTTGCGATATTTGAATTTATCTCACAACATTAAATATTTGTTTTGATTCAACAGTTTGGAAACTGCTTTTTTTTTTGTACAATTTATGAGGATGTATTTCAAAGCCCATTGAGGCTTATAGTGAAAAACCGAATATTCTGAGATAAAAACTATATGAAGCTGTCTCTGAAAATGATTTATGATTGGTGATTTCATCTCACAGAATTAAACCATTCTTTTGACTCAGCAGGATGGAAACACTCTTTTGGTAAAATCTTCAATAGGACATTTCAGAGCAAATTGATGCCTACAGTGAAAAACCGAATATCCAGCAATAATGTGCAGATTCATCTTACAAAGTTAAACCTTTATTTTGCTTCAGATGCTTGAAAACTCACTGTTTGTAGAATCTATGAGGGTATAATTTGAAGCCAATATAAGCCTGTAGTGAAAAACCAATATCGCACAATAAAAGTAAAAAAAGCTATTGGCCAGGTGTGGTGGCTCACGCCTGTAATCCCAGGACTTTGGGAGGCTGAGGCAGGCAGATCACAAGGTCAGGAGATCGAGACCATCCTGGCTAACATGGTGAAACCCCGTCTCTACTGAAAACACAAAAAATTGGCCAGGCCTGGTGGCGGGCACCTGTAGTCCCAGCTACTTGGGAGGCTGAGGCAGGAGAATGGCGTGAACCCAGGAAGCCGAGATCAGGCCACTGCACTCCAGCCTGGGTGACTGAGTGAGACTCTATCTAAAAAAAAAAAAAAAAAAAAAAAAAAAACTACCTGTGAAAATACTTTGTGATGTGTGGATTTATCTCAAAAAGTTAAACGTTGTTTTGATTCAGCAGGTTAAAACACTCTTTTTGTGAAATCTACAGAGGAATCTTTCAAAGCCCATTGAAGCCTATAGTGAAAAATCAATATCCCGAGATAAAAACTAGAAACAAGCTATCAGGGAAAATGCTTTGCAATGTGAAGATTTATCTCACAGAGATAAACCTTTATTTACATACAGCAGGTTGGGGGACACTCTTTTTGTAGAATTAAGAAGTTACAATTAAGCCTCCATTGAAGCCTATAGTGAAAAACCCAATATCCAGTGATGAACCCTAGAAACAAGCTATTTGTGAAAATTCTTTGTGATGTGTGATTTCATATCAAAGAGTTAAACCTTTATTTTTGTTCAGAAAAATGAAAAACTTTTTTTGTAGAATCTGCAAAGAGACATTTCTGAGACCATTGAGGCCAATAGTAAAGAATCAAATGTCTCATCATAAAAGCTAGAAACAAGCTATTTGTGTGCTTTCCAATGTGTAGATTCATTTCACAGAGTTAAACCTTTGCTTTTATACAGGGAATTGGGCACACTTTTATAGAACCTATGAATGGACATTTCAGAGTTCATTGAGGCCTATACTGAAAAACCAAATATCCTGTGATAAAAATTAGGAAAAAACTGTCTGTGAAAATGCTTTGTGAGGTTTGGAGTCATCTCACAGATTTAAGCTGTAGTTTTGATTCAGCAGGTAGGAAACACTTGTTTTTGAAAATCTACTATGAGACATTTCTGAGCCCGATGAGGCATATAGTGAAAAACCGAATATCATGCTTTAAAACTAGAAACAAGTGATCTGAAATATGCTTTGTGATGTGTGGATTCCTCTAAAAGAGTACACATTTGCTTTGATTCAGCA